>NC_000010.11:13494848-13646363 GCF_000001405.40 Homo sapiens
AATTTAAATCTAAGTCTTCAGGCATTAAACCTTAAGTAAATCTACCCACATGACACAAATTTTTAAGTTTAAGAAAATTAAAGGAGAGTAATTTATTCAGTTTATCCTTTGTGCCATCCTACAGCTTTGGAATCGTTTACCTCCCTAATCTGCAAAGGTTCAGAAAAGAAAACATAGCGACAAAGTGGCATTTACTTAATAGATTCTAAAAAGGCTTCCGTCAAGGATTTAAATGGTTGCAATTTGTAGTTTGCCATTTCAGTAGTAAGGAGCTTAAGTGACAAAACAAATCATTACAATTTCATATGCATATTTTCTTAAGTGCTAACAAATTCCTCCTCGGAGAAAAGAATCCGAACATCATAAAGTAACCTTTCTTTCTGAGCTCCTTATTTAGGAGATGTTAACCTCCTCCAGGTTAATAAGAACACAGATTATCGTAGTGGAACAAGGTGAGTCCAATGCTTACTGACCTGAGCAAAATACTTCCTTGGGGTAAAACCAAATTCAGTGCTTAAAAAGATGCTGTTTAGCCCGGCGCGGTGGCTCACGCCTGTAATCCCAGCACTTTGGGAGGCTGAGGCGGGCAGATCACCTGAGGTCGGGAGTTTGAGACCAGCCTGACCAACATGGAGAAACCCCATCTCTACTAAAAATACAAAAATTAGCCAGGCGTGGTGGCACATGCCTGTAATCCCAGCTACTAGGGAGGCTGAGGCAGGAGAATCGCTTGAACCTGGGAGGTAGAGGTTTCGGTGAGCCGAGATCATGCCATTGCACTCCAGCCTGGGCAACAAGAGTGAAACTCCATCTCAAATAAAAAGATGCTGTTTTTCAGAAAGTAGCTCACATTACTTTAATGTGATCTTGGGTGACTGATATATCTAAGTATTAATTAAGCTTTTTATATCAAAACCACATCACTGAATATTAAAATTATACTAGAATTCACTAAATGGCATCCTGAACAGCTTCTGAGTGACGACCTTCCGGACTACCATCCTGATGAAAGGGCAGGAAAGCCAGTCACGACATGGCTTAGATCAAGTGGTGATGTCCCTTGACAAGAGGGAAAACTTAATACAATGATTTATTTCTTGTACCTGTGACAAAAACAATTCTGTTTTCCCTCAATTGTGAAGATCAGAAAATACAGCTGCTATAATGAAGACGTAGACTTCCAGACTTCTATAGAACGCTTCATGGACTTTAAGACCACACTAATGAAACAGCTTAGGCTTGTACCATGCCTTATAAAGTTCATTGACAGCTACTACATCATTCTATTTTGACAACAGCCCTGTGAGTTAGATATGAATTCTCCATTTACAGACGTGAAATAGGAAGCTCAGATGCGCCACACAGCTCCAAAAGCAGAAATTGGCATCCAATCCCAAATTACAAATCCACTGCTCTTCCGTCCCTCAACTTGCCTGATGGCAGTGAAAACAAAAAGGAGTCACATAAACAAAGACGACAGAACACGGCGGATTTCTGAGCTTCCGCATCCTGAATAGGAGAGAGAAAAGCCACAAAGCATAGCCTGGGGCTCCACATTTCTTATCTGCTTAGTGCTTGAACACTGAAGCCCATGCTTCCTAAAGGACCCCTCCATACACAGTTGTTCCCAAATTTAATTAACTGACATTTGTGAAGTACTAGGAGATCATGGAATGAAGTCTATCGAGTACATACACATAATTATATGAGCTGTATCAGTAGCAAGACAAAATATGTTTGATTTGCTAAAGGAAAAATGGATTGTAGAGAAAGCTGAAAAAACAGATACTTGAAAAGGCACAGCAAGACAGCAAGGTGAGAAGAAGGCTTTAATAAAAGCACAATGAACATTCCAACGGAAGATGTCAGATATGCATTAAAAATCAAAGGACTCATTCCGAGGCCTGATCCTTGTACCTGCTTGAATTTGCATTAATTTCCTCATGGTCTTGAGTTCTTGTAGAATGGCCTGCAACGTTGACTGGCAGTTACAAGTACAGCAGTTTGATCCAGCTGATGAATTCACCACTGGAAGTTCTCCTGAGCATGAAAGAAAAGAATGACATACTCCAAACAAACCAAAAAAAAAAAAAAAAATCATAAAGAGGTGGAGAGAAAAAAGAAAGTATCTTGGCAGGATTTTGAAGCATGTGCAATTATGATGAAGCTGTGCCTAAGGAAAACGTACCCACTAATTATCACAACCTAAATCTGGGGGTCTGACTTTATCTAATTATCCAGGCTTCCATACTGTAACGTGCGTGCTGTGGCGCGGTGCGGGAGCCCGCATGCACACACACACACAATGAGTGGGCACAGCAGGCCTCCCTATTGTCAGAGCTGTTCATCTCAAATAACAACACCTCAAAAACTCACTCGAAACACACTCATGCTAGTTCACACAAAAAAGGAGCCCTGAGGACAGCCTTGCAAAAAAAATTTGGTAGCTGTGTTTAAGAGTTCATATTAAAAATTATATGAGTTCTATTGAAAATAGTTTTGATATTAAGCACATTATTTCAAAAACAAAGAACTGTGCACACATGAAAACTTTTAGAATACTCTCTGGGTGTGGCGTTTGGGGTGGGGAAGCACAGAGGAGCAGGGATGGGAGGATATATTCGAATTGGATGCGTTCGAGGGTATTGGTGGGCTGGCTGGCTTTTCTTCAGCTTCACAAAGAAAATCTCTCTACCTCTTTTCTCCATTCCCATGTCTTATCTTTCCCTTGCCACAGCCTCTTTTGCACTGTTTAAATTTAATGCCTTTTCCTTGGTAAACCTATCTTATTCTGTTTCTCTCATAGGTAAGCAAGTATCTTCTATTGTCCTTAGAATAAAATGGGACATTTGGACATTGCTCTTACAGTGGGTTCCCTCCAGCACCTGTTCACCTGACCACCATAAAATGGAGCAGTTTAGAGACTTCCAGCGCTCACATTGTCTCACAGGCCAGCAAGGTAAGTTCCATGGTTTTGTTCCAATTATATGTTTTATTATACTTTATATACCTTAAATCCTGTAATATGCATTATTTAGGAATACTATAGAAAAATTCACCAGAGCAAAACCATGAAATACTTCAGGATAACTTAGTGATTGTAGTGGTACAATTATTTACATTCAAAATTGTAGCAAAATTGTAATGTTACAACTTTAAAATTATAAATAATCCCAATGAAATACCAAAGTAGTCACAGTTATATGTAATATATTTCTTTTTCTTTTTTTTTTTTTTTTTTTTTTGAGACAGGGTCTCGCTCTGCTGCACAGGCTGGAGTGCACTGGTATGATCTTGGTTCACTGCAACCCCTGCCTCCCAGGCTCAAGCGCTTCTCATGCCTCAGCCCCCCAAGTAGCTGGGACTACATGCATGCGCTACCACGCCCGGCTAATTTTTGTATTTTTTAGTAGTGATGGGGTTTCGCCATGTTGGCCAGGCTGGTCTCGAACTCCTGGCCTCAAGCAATCCACTCATCTCGGCCTCCCAAAGCGTTAGGACTACAGGCACGAGCCACCACGCCTAGCCATATTTCTATTGAAAACATAAAATATCTATTTTCAAACTGATATGGGGGAATTTATGTTTGTAACTTTTACTAACTTCATACTTTTCAAAGTAAATCCACTGTCCCTACTGTATACTGGGAAACAGAACACTGTTCACCCAAAACTTACTGATGTGGGGTTTATTAACTTCATACATACCTAAGGGTATTTTATTTCTCTTATTGTCTCTTCCATGGTAGTAGAGTTAGAAAGGTCTTAAAGAATATTTCTAGTCACTATTCTAAGTACCATCTTTTATCATTTTTAGAAGACAAAACCAACCCTTTTCAGCTTGTTATAAATCATTTTCTAATTTTAAAGAGAACTGACTTTTTATTTTTATGGAGGAGTCTTTAAAGAGCTGTGTCCCTCTAACCTGGAGGCATGCCAGCATTGGAACTTTGATACTGGCTTATGTACTACTGAGAGGCAGAGAAGACACCCATACATTTCTGGGGTCCTTCGCTGTCTCATCAATGTCTCAGGATGGCTTTTCATGCCTCTGAACCACAAATTGTGTTTTTAAAAAAAGTCAAAACAGTTCTCTTTTTCTTGAAGGATATTGTGAAATGAAAATGAATGGAAAAAAATCCTTAACTTCTTAAGGAAACTGAAAATGCTTTCTTACCTTTTTCTTGTTCTCTTTGTGAAAACTATAGATCTGCACATCTCTACAGAGTTTATAGAACAAATATTATAGCATCCAGTGTGGCCGGATAGAAAACTAATATGACCACAAAAAGCATCAGGTTTTTCTCCTTAAGCTTTGAAAAAAAATTGTCATTTGATTCTTTTCTTAACAATTAGGAAACTTAAATTAAGAAAATTTTACTTTAAAGGAATACTTTCCATTGCTAATGAAGCATGTTACAAAATATGGATCACTGGGTTCAGTACTGACGTGGGATGCTGGGTTATCGGCCCCCCACCCCTGTCCGCCCCCGCCTTTATCTGGGACTCTTCTGATAATGAGTAAGGTGAAGGAGTAACCAAGAGGATATGTTAGTAACACACCATAGGACCAGGAAGCTTCTTTTAAAGACAGTGGGGAGCTCTTTCTGCCCTAATGTTCAGGTTTTTTTTGTGACAATAATATCCATACATGGGCACAAAATGATCGCTTTAACCTCTTAAAGGGCTAAAATCTCTACCAGGAAATCTTCACTTATAACATAGAACCCCCTGTCTTTCCTAATTCTCAATTCTGTTTTTTAATAGTCTTCAACTCTTTCCTTTGTGTCTCCCTGTCTTTTAAAGTAACTCAGCAAAGGCAGGTAATTATGGGAGGGTTTAATAAATTGAACTCAACACACTGAATATTTAGAAATAGAACAGTACAAACCCCCATGAGAGCCTTCTGAATGTTTGTTGACAACCATACCATTGGAGCTCGTGGTAGGGTGGGGCTGGCTTTGGAAGGTTCTAGAACGGGTGCCATACTGCCCTGAGAACTGTCCACTCTGGGGCGGTAGCTCATTCCACACACCACGTGAAGACGGGTGGAGGCTTTGCGGGGCCTCAGCAGAGGAGTTCAAACGTGGAGGCCAGACTAAATCCAGGTCCTGGGGCTCTTCTTTTAGTTTCTCTCCTTCTTTGCCAACTCGCTGATAGATCCGCCCAGTGCTGTCGTTCAGCAATCTTCTCATCCCTGTAATTTGCTTTTTTATTTCCATGCTTTCATCTCCTAATGGAAACAGGGCCAAAGTTAGCACTCTAAATTAGTGAAAGAGAAAACAGTTCACTAACCAAAAAGAAGAGAAAGAAAAACAACCCTTCTTTGGAAATGGGAAAGATGACTGACTCTATGAACTTAATCTGTAAAACGCAAAGGCAGGAAAACTGACTACGGTCTGAAAAAACCCATCCTATTCCTGGTGCCTCTCATTTTAATCTCTTTCTGCAAGTCGCTTATGATGAAAGAGGTTTCTTGAGAGTGTGTCATCAGGAACAAACATGACATTCCCTCTTTGGAAGCATTTTCTGAATGAGTAGGTGATGAGGAAACAGGCTGAGACAGAAGGTCAAGGATAGAACTGGACCGCGGAACCCCTCTGCTCTGATGGGCCACAGCCACCCGTGAGGAATGGGCAGGTCACTAAAGCGCTCTGCTCACTGTCTGTCAGCTTCACCAGGCGGGGCAAGGACAAGGAAGAAAGCCTGGACTGGCAGGGACGCAGGGCTTCACTACTGACACAATGTCCTTCAGGATGACTGGCAGGGATGCAGGGCTTCACTGCTGACACAATGTCCTCCAGGATGACACGCTGCCGCTGGAGACATCACCTTCAGAGAGGACGGCCGAGGAGACAGAGAGGCGCCGAGTGTGGCAGCATGGCAAGCGAGGGGGTTTTGTCTTTCTGGCACTCTGACTCCCATCACATCAGCCTGGTGATGACCGAGGGGTCCCTGCCACTCGAGGTCACTGGCGGTACCAGCACTGGAAGGGCGGAAGTGCAACCTCCCCACCGTGCCCTCCTCCCATGCCAAACGCACTGCCACCTCCCCTGCAGCGTAACTGTGTGCGAAAGGTCACAGGCCACTTTGAAATCCCACTTCACCTACACTGACTTCTTTTTTTAAGATTTTTCTCCCGTCTCAGGACATTTTTTTAAAATGAAAGAACTTCTATACTGCACTGGGAGTACTTAATAAATATTAAAGATGTCTGTAATATTGCACAGATAGAAAATCTTTTTGGCCGGGCACAGTGGCTCACGCCTGTAATCCCAGCACTTTGGGAGGCCGAGGCGGGTAGATCACCTGAGGTCGGGAGTTCGAGACCAGCCTGACCAACATGGAGAAACCCTGTCTCTACTGAAAATACAAAATTAGCCAGGCGTGGTGGCACATGCCTGTAATCCCAGCTACTCACAAGGCTGAGCCAGGAGAACCCGGCTCACCCAGGAGGTAGAAGTTGTGGTGAGCCAAGATGGCACCATTGCATTCCAGCCTAGGCAACAAGAGTGAAACTCCATCTCAAAAAAAAAAAAAAAAAAAAAGAAAAAGAAAATATTTTCTATCAATAATAATATCAGAGGATGCTGATATCTGTTAGGAGCTATTTCAAACACACTATCTTCTTAAACTGTGCATCAGCCAGTATCTTCATAAAGATGAAGAGAAATGAATTTTTTTTTCTCAAACCCAAAAGATAAAATCTTAGGCCACTGTTGGGCATGGTGGCTCACACGTGTAATCCCAGCCCTTCGGGAGGCTGAGATGGGAGGGTCATTTGAGCTCAGGAGTTTGCGACCAGCCTGGGCAATATGGAGAAACCCCGTCTCTACAAAAAGTACAAAAGTTAGCCCAGCATGGTGGTGTGTGCCTGTGGTCCCAGCTACTTGGAGGCTGAGGTGGAAGGACTGCTTGAGCCCCGGAGGCAGAGGTTGCAGCGAGCCGAGATTGTGCCACTGCACTTCAGCCTGGGTGATAGTGGCAGACCCTGTCTCAAAAAAAAAAAAAATCTTAGGCCAGGGTATGTGTGTGTAAACATTCATGCAGTTACTCTAATAAATGCTTGAAATTTAAACTGTAAGATAAAGAAAAGGCTAACAGACAGCATCTGTTAAGAAAAATACAGCTCCTACAAATACACACAGCACATTCAATATAATGATTGCACTTAGGATCAATTATAATGATCAATATATGTATATATAAGGATATGTATATATATATATGGATCAACATAATGATTGCACTTAGGATAAGCCAGGTTTCTCTGTAGAACTGGTAACTGCACAATAACCTAGCCGTTTTGTGCTTTCCAGTTAGATATTTAGCTTATTAATATATGTGTTATGTTACTAAATAAGGAAGTTTATTTTGAATTTACTGTTCACTATTTTGAAGTAAATATCTTTAGTTTTTAAAAATGATACTAAAAACATTACAGAATATATTAATTCTGTCTAATTGAACATGAGTGAACACGGAAATAACACAGATTTCCAAATTTACAATATTGCTATGTGTTGTTGGCATATGCTTGAGAGGAGAAATATTCTAATTTGAGATAAAACTATTTCTACTTCAAACCCCTGTGAAAATTACAATATATAAACAATAAATCATATTCCAGATTTTATGAGAATGAACGACCAAGCGAGATTTCAATAACGCAGAGTCAGCAAAATTTACTACTTTCTCGAGAGGCTACGGAACAGGGTGTGTCTGGAAGAGGTCCCAAAGGAATCCTGAAAGATAAGCCCACAGGCAAATGCGGTATTAATTTCAGCAACCAGACACATACGTTCCCGGCTAGTTAACACCACAATTCAAGCAAGAGGAGGCATCTTTTCTGTGTGGTTTCCACCCACAGCCCTCCCCATCAGGCCGGGTATGCCTGCACTGAAGTCCATGCAGAGACTAGCCTTCTCTGGCACAGGTTGGTGGCCGCCACCCCTGACCCCAGGCTCCCTGAACAGAGCAGCCATAGCCAGGCCACATGGGGCAGATACCCACCCCGGCTCTCAAGTCCATGCCAGCTTGCTTCTCTACACTAACTGACACATCACAGGAGAAGGGATGTGTCTCCTGCCAAAGGTCCTGCCTCTGCTCTGTAGATATAATGCTAGGATAGATACAGTGCTACCATTAGCAACAGGAAGGCGTCACAAGGATTCTGGAACCTTCTGAGGGCAAATCTGCTTTGTCATGACCTCAGTTTCAGAGTTCCAGAACTTATGCCTATGAAAAGTACATGGCTGAAAATACAACCTGAGTTTTGCATAACTTTGTATTTTCATTTTGACAACCAGCATCCTAAGCTGCAGGTGGCAATGAGGGAGGAAGGTGGCAGGTGTGAGGGGTTCTGGCGGTGGGCTGCGCCTGCCGTGTGCAGAAACATGTCTCCCAAAGGCAAAACAAAACGAAACAAATACACAAAAAATCAGGACGTCGGGGGACTGAGGAGGAAGAAACAGTGCTGAAAGGAAGAGGGCAGAAGGCCAGAAGCAGGTCCCTCCTCAGAGGAAGTAAGCTCACGGCCTAGCTCACTGTGGCATGTTTTAAAGGATGGAACACATCCTTTAAAGGATGGCACAGTGGCTCACACCTGTAATCCCAGCACTTTGGGAGGCTGACGTGGGTGGATCACCCGAGATCTGGAATTTGAGACCAGCCTGGCCAACATGGTGAAAGCCTGTCTCTACTAAAAACACAAAAGTTAGCTGGGCGTGGCAGCGCGCGCCTGTAGTTCCAGCTACTCGGAGGCTGAGGCAGGAGAATCACTTGAACCTGGGAGGCGGAGGTTGCAGTGAGCCAAGGTTGTGCCACTGCACTCCAGCCTGGGCAACAGGGTGAGACTCCATCTCAAAACAAACAAACAAACAAACAAACAACAACTAAAAGGATGGAACACAGAAAACTGCAGTAACTGCAGAAGTCTGTGCTGAGAGGAGAGCTGAGAGGTGAGCTGAGAGTCGGCAGGGAAGGTTGAAGAAGGGCAGAGTGTGGAAAGTTTCTTAGGGGAGATGACGGGACGTTCAGGAATGGTCTCTGGGGTTTACTGAGTCACACTCTCTTCACCCAAAGCAGCAGAAGCAGCTGAGCAGGTCACCCCTGCAGCTGCTGCCTAGGAGGAGGGAGTCCTGGGGCTCTACTCCACAGCAGGGAATGATGAGTGACAGGCTTTGGCAGACAGGAAGAAAGAGGTTTCCTTGCACATTTGGGGCAGGTGGGGCAGAGGATCAGAAACGAGGCCTGAAGACTCCAAGTGACAATGACAAAGAAGCTGAGTCAACCTAAATAATCTGGGGACAGTGGGTGCTGGGAGCAGATGAGCAGGCCGAGCCGTAGAAGCTCGTTGAGTGTGGTGCAGTGTTAGTGTGGGACAGGACAGGCTGGGCTATTACACCCACACCTGGTCTCGCCTCCTAACTACGCCCACCTGCTACTGGATACTAGCCAAGCCACTGAATATTCTCTGGTTTCCTAAATCCTAAAGCAAGAGTCTGAACCCTAACCCGGGGAGGGGCACATGGTAGTCCAGGAGGGGCACAGGATTTTCACCATCACCAAGGTGTTAACCAAGCACTTTGTGGCTCTAGAAGTCCTTTTCGGAAGACAGGCTTCTTCTATCATAGTGGAATCCAAGTTCTTTGATAAAAAAAAAAATTGGTGAAAAGTATACAGGAGATTGAGATTGGAAGCATTCACTGACTTCTACTGGTATTTCCAGTTATCATTAGTCAATGACTTCTCCAGGTATAGATACCAGGAAAAGGAAGCTCTTTGGAGCAACGAGCTCTCTAGCGAGACAGGATGCTATAAGGAAACCTGTGCATTTTTCCTGATCTCTTTCCAAGACGCTGAATCCTTTTCAGAAAAACAAACACAAAGGAATCTTACTAAAATGGATCCATGCCACGTGACTACCTTATTGGCAGCCTGAAATCCTTTGGAGTTTAGTAACTATACTCCTTGGACAAGATCTAAAAAGATTGTATGCTGGATTCTCCCCCTCACTAAATTTCAAGACTCTACTAGATCACGTTCCTTTACGCAAAGAATTTATGACACATAGTCTTGCAGGATCTGATACATGTGAGGGCAACACAGAAGTCAACACACAAGGTTGCCCTTAACTTGGCTAGGAGGGAAGGATCCACTACGTGGAACACGATTATTCACAGGTAATCACGATAAAAGATGGTAACAAACAAACTGAGAGAGAGTGCAGCGAATGCTCATCATTTTGTGTTGCCTTGGCATCCATTTTAAATATAAGTGGGAGTTTTTCATTCCAGAAGCAAGGCTCTGTCACCCTTGACAGTTTCCAGTTCTATTCGCTGCACTCCCGGTTCCTCAGTGTGGTCGATCCAGACATCAGCTTTATACAACTGCTGCCTGGTGACCACCTCCCTACAGGACAGCTAGATGCAGCCTGCTGGCCCTTGCACCCCACGTGGACTGTGCAGATATGCCACAGTAACTCCCTCTCAGTCGCTGAGTGACCTCCTGCAACCCCTGCCTGCTTGCTTTCAGCCCATGAATTACAGCTCCCTACAGGAAACCTGTGTGGATAACGCTCTGGACCCAATAAAGGTACTGGCCATGGGTTCCTTTCTCTCCCCTGCCAGGCCACATGGGGCAGACACCCGCTCTGGCCTGCGTGTGTGTGGCCTCCAGGGGTGTGCTACCCTCCCCGGGGTCCATAAGTACTAAAACTTCTTAAACTCTCACACTGTGCTTGTGCCATTAAAGGCCCACAGTCCGACCCCTGACTGGGAGCCTGCCCCAAAGGGACCTGTGCTTGTGGATCTCTTGCTGGCACTTGTCCGGGCCTCTGGTGGCTGCTGAGGACAATGCTATCAGTTAAGTTAATAATGAAACTCAAAGAGTTCCATCCAAAACAGAGCAGTTGCATGTGTGCCCATCTATATGCCTCCTTATTAGGAAAATTCCTGGTAACAGTCACCCTGTCTGTGCCCTACAAATGTACCAGTGCTAATGTACAGCAGGCGTTCCATAAACCTTTCTTAAGTAATTAAAAAAACCCTGCTTATCAAAAACAGAATGAAGTCCAGAACGCAACACTAAGATAGTAAACAAATAACAGGGAAGACTGAAAACGTATCAGAAATAAATTATTTGACAAATATTTATCAAGCACCTCCTAGGCTCCAGAGATACAAAGATCATCGGGTACAAATTGAAAGGTACCCCAACTCTCTCAACATCTCTTACCTGAATCCTTTTATATTGATCTCTTGCTCCAAATAATGGTCCTGGTTTTCCCGGCCCACTGACCCCTGCCTCTTTTAACTGTGTGCCCTGGAACTCTACTTGGTAAACTGCCCCCCTGTTTGCAGATGGCACGCTCTGCTTCCTTGCTAGAGCTAGACCCGCCTCTTCCCTGTGGATCCTGCCTTCCCTGTTGGCCCCGCATGAAAATTATTCATTCTCCCTTCCTTTGAGGCTGCAGAGGAGAACCTGGCTTTCCTCTTGCTCCCCGAAACACGGCTCTTTTAACCCCTGGAAGAAGCTCACAGAGGTGTATTACCTTGCATCCCTCTTCCCAAGCAGCAGTTCTGCGAGCCAGGAGTTTAAGATTCATAGGAGATGAGGCAGGCAACGGAGCTGGAGCGCATAGTGAGGCCACCCTGCTAGGGCACCACATGCAGGGTGAAGGCAGAAGAATTGTACACTGGAGCCAATGGGTTATCACTGGGTAACTTAAGATTCAGGTCTCTTTTCATATAAGGATAGTAAATAATCAGATATATCCTACACAAAAACAATTCTGGCAAAATTATGGTGAAACCGGTATGGCATAGAGGAACCTGGCTAGAATGTTATCACGGAAGGCTCTGTGAATGGCAACGTCAGTCTACCAGGATTTTCAGGATGGAAATGGAGCGAGATGGAGAGAGAGAGAGAGACACTGAAGAAGTTTAATCAAATGGGCTTGGGATTAGCTGGATTTGCTGGGGGTGGAGGCGGGAAGAATCCATGAATGATAACCCCAAGGTTTCCAGCTTGGGTCACTGAATAGATATAAACACCAGTAGGAGAACTGGAAAAACATGCATGCAAGGGAGTGGAGATATGGAGTCTAGTTTCGATGAAGAAAATCTGGATAAAAGCAGGCAATGGGAAACGCAGCTACTGGGTGCATGAGTTTGAGCATGAAGCCATATTTTGGTTTTATCCACGAGTAGGCTGGCCCCTCTGGACTGAGTAAGCCCCTGAGGGTCATGGATAATTTAGGGGGTGGAGGACATCTTATAGAGAGATATTAGATCTTCTACTAATCTAGCATGTAAAGAACTCAAAACATTCATTTATTAGTAGATATTTAAAAAGATCTGACCTCATATGATTCCAAGCTGGTAAAGTGAGTCAAACCTATCCCTCCAGAATTCCCAACCCCTGAGGCAACTATCCTCTTGATCAGAACTGACTGACTCTCTCTCCCCGCGCCAGTCTCAAACCCATCACTCAGGGATGTCACGTTCGGTGACTTACCTGAGCAGAATGGACACAGGGCGTCTGAAAGAAATGGGGTCCAATCCTACCGCTACACTATTACACTATCATGTCCCGTTTTGTCCTATGTTAAAGAGGCCATTGAGAAACTTGAGGAGATAATGAAAAAGCCAATTGAACAGATTAAGGAACAAGGAAAGATGAAGGGGGGCTGGGTTCTTTCACTAATAAATGGCCACTGAGTGACTTAATTATCTCTAAATATACTACACAGTATTATGGGTAGGACATTGTTCTTTATCAAAAAGAAAAACAATGAACTGAAAATGCAGCTTCCAGCCTGAAGGTGAGGCCACAGATGATCTTAAAGAGCTGGACTTTCCAGTTTGTAAATACCAGAAGCAGTGCAGAAGCATCTGCAGGAGAGGTGACAATGAGAATGCATCTCTGTTTGTGGTGATGAAAAAGCTCTGGAGGTGGTTGCACAACACTGTGAACGTATTTTAAAGAAAAATGCTTTAAAACTCCTTGCATTTTTTAGGGGGCAGGTAATGGCATGTTAAAGAGAAAGAGTTTATCAGTGAGAAATAATAAGATGACCAGGATTATACTATATGGTCCAAAATATTTCCTCTTAAAAACTCATAGAGGTTGGCATGGAGCCATGCTGTGGATAGACTGATGGGCGGCCTGTCAAATGGGAGACAGGTGGGAGCACGGAGCCAGGGCCTTCAGGCTTGCGGGCAGCTCTCTGCACAACCTCCACAAGTGAGCTGAAAGAAGAGGAATCTGAAACAGACCCTGTGCTTTGAGGACCTGAGGCTGGCACCTCTTTCCAGACCCCATTAACATGCAGATGCCATCAAGGTCCCAGCTGGCAGCCTGCAGGGACAACAGCCATGTTTATGAGGGACACACAAGACTGGGAGTCGAACTCAGCAAAAAACAGTGTGAAAAGCATCAGTCTATGGAACAGGGTGGTGGTTTTCCAAACAAGTCCTTTTTTTCCCAAGTGCAATCTAAAGTGGAACCCCAATAAATAAAGAAGAGCAAAGCTCTGCTGAGGAGACTGCGCCAGAACCCGATTCCTGAAGCCGCCCTTGGAAGATGCTCAAGAACTCCAAGGGCTCCACACTGCATAGGCTGAATGCCACGGAAAAGGAAAGACCAAAAAGTGGCCATAGAATCATTTAATTGGATGAATCAAATACCATGAAAAGGAGTATCTAGACACAAATATATCTCCACGTGCTTGAGGGTCCTGTTCAGCTGAGAACTACAGATAGAAAATAATTAAGCAGCCCAATGTATACATGGCATTTACATTTAAAGGATAGCTAAGACCCTTTTAAATCTGTTGAGATACTATCAGGTTCACTTATCCACTTAATAAATATTTACTGTACTACTACTAAATTATGAGACACAATGTGACCGAAAAAAAAATGTAATACACAGTCTCTTCCCTTCAGGAGTTTACAGCCTAGCACAGGAAACAAAAGAGTGTGTACACAGCTCTAAGAGTATAATGGCACTCTTCTGATCGACGGGCAGGCCTAAGCGGCACGGCGGTCAACCCCAGCCAGGGGACAGGAGCACTTTGTAATCATGGCTGAAGATGTGAAGCCAGGACAGGTACCAAGAAGGAACGCCAAGGATCCTAGTGGGAAAACAGGTACTGAAAGCCAAAAAGGCACAAAGGGCTTGAGATGGGCAGTTAGGGTCAAAAAGAGCAAAGAAATACCAGGAAATGAAGCAAGAAACAGCTGTGCAAAATGAGCTATCACACGGCTTCTCAAACTTTTCCCTCAAAGAACACAGAAAGCCAAAGGAGAGTAAGTATCTATGAGAAGTTTGGGGACAGAGTCCTAGGAGGGGAATAAGGAACAAACAATTTTCTTAGATGTCCTTATGTTTTCTCTTAAAAACTGAATGCAAGTACTGTCCTATACTCTCTTTGTTTTTGCATTTAATTTTAAAACAATCTTCTATCCACCAAGATGTGCAGCTTCCTACGGACCCTGGGCCCCAGCACTGGGCACCCACAGTTACATGTTTGCCAGCTGAAAAGCAAGGCCAGGGGTGGGTGGGCTGGTCCATCCCAGAGGCAAGGGCTGGTGCCTGTGAGTCAGGCTCTTCAGCATCGCCAGCTACACTTCCCAGGAGCACAGTTACGGTGTCCGTGACTGAACAGACAAAACTGAGGGAACGCATGATCAATGCCTTAGAAATCATGTGACAAGTGTTTCAGGAATTACAGAGAGAAAAAGAGATCACTTTACCCTGGGAGGACTACGCCTCACAAAGATGGCAAGACTGGAGGTGGTCAATAAACAACACCAGCATTTCCACGCGCACTTTGGGGAGGAGAAAAGAGAACGGCACTGAACGAAGCTTGAGGGCAGAGAGAAGTGAAGTGGGCAATGGCGAATCAGCGAACTTAGCTGGAGTTAAGGCAATGAATGGGGCAAAGTCAAAAACGAAAGGACCCTGACACTTTGACTTCATCCTCAAAGTGACAGGAGATCAATGAAGGTTTTTGTAAGAGCGATAGGACACAGTTAGAACTACTCAGTGAATTCAAAGATTTTTGTCTACTTATTTCTCCTCCAAATGCTCTTACATTGTGGAAAGCAAAGTTTTATTTTATAATCAATATAGCATGGCTGTCCAGTGTTCCCTGATGAGTAACTGCATCTAACATTAAGCAACAAAGTCTGAAACCACCACTTCAAGTAATATTCAAGAATAATCAAGTCAAAGAGTTAAATCTGAAATGCATGGAAAAGGTCTTATAAATCAATAAAGAAGATGATGAATACTAATGATGGAAAAATGGGCAAAGGACATGAACATGTAATTCACAAGAAGAAAAAAATGATCAATAAATATTTTAAGTATCTTATCTCCCTAATTATTAATGTAATGAAAATTAACATAAAATTCTTTTCCTTTCTATGTAATTATAGATTCAAAAAGCCCATTTTTGGTGATAGTTGAGGGTCACAGTAACTCTCATAGGCTGTTGGTAGGGATGTAATTTGGCAAAACCTTTTTGGGGCAGAATATGGGAATTCCACTTACCAAAATTTATGCTACAGAAATATTCCAACAACTACCTATGAATATTCACTACGGCATCATTTTACAAGGGAAATATTGGGAACAATGTAAACATTTATCAACAGAACATTAGATAAATGAATTATGGTACAGCAGTACAACGAAATTATATCATTTCATATCTATAAAGAGTGAAATAGACCCTTCTAGAGTCATTTGGAATTATGTGAAAGACAAATTATTAGCTTCAAGAAAGGAAATCATGATCATCTCATTCGCTACAGGATAACTAGGGGCTAAATCTGCCTGGTTCCAAATAGGCAGTCAATATGGATGAAATAAATAAAGATTAGGTTAAGTGAAAAAAGTTGCAACATGTTAAATAGCATAATTCTATTTTCTTTTTCTGTGACACACACACACATTTCACACACACCTCTATTGGTAATAGTGGTTATCACTGGAGAGTGTGATTGGATTTAAAAAAAAAAACAAACTAGTCAAGGGCCGGGCACAGTGGCTCACGCCTATAATCCCAGCACTTTGGGAGGCTGAGGTGGACGGATCACTTGAGGTCAGGTGTTCAAGGCCAGCCTGGCCAACATGGTGAAACCCCATCCCTACTTAAAAAATACGAAAATTAGCTGGGTGTGATGGTAGGCACCTGTAATCCCAGCTGCTCAGGAAGCTGAGGCAGGAGAATCGCTTGAACCCAGAAGGCGGAGGTTGCTGTGAGCTGAGATCCCGCCACTGCACTCCAGCCTGGGCAACAGAGTGAGACTCTGTCTCAAAAAAAACAACAATCCCAAAACCCCAAATAACTAGTCAAGTGTATTAGTGAGAAGGGGAAACAGTAGAAGGAGTTTGACCTACAACTCACTGTGAACAATCAATTGAGGTAACTAACTAACTTCAGACCAGCTGAGATCTTTTACTTTTTATTTTGTTTTTGGCTTTATAAATTGTTTAAAAAATGGTTTCAAAATGAATATATATGACTGTTTCGAAGGAAAAATGATCTAGAAGAATTATTTACAAACTTTTCTTTGTGGTATTCTCAAGCTGGGTATAAGGCAACTGGTAGATGTAGCTGTGGACCTGAAAACATCACAGTGAAATTGGGCAGGAACGACTGACTCAGCAGCAGCTAGACGGCAGCAAGAAAAGTCAAGCAGGGAGATGCTGGGGTGTGGCACGTTTTGTAATCCCTGGAATACATGCTAAGGCCACTTTCTCTTGAAACTCATTACAAGTCATATATCCTTAAAAGGAATTTGGATGTATTTAAGGGAAAGAGTGTTAAAGCTATGAATACCACTTACAGAGCACTTAGTATGTACCAGGCCTCTGGTAAGCACCCTGCCTACATTGAATCCTGACACCAAGCTAAGAGGTTCGAGCACTGGCGTATACATTTTACCCAGGAGATGCAGAGACTGTGAGGTGAGAGATCTGCATTGGATGCATCAGGCTTCTGGGTCCCTGTGCTACACTCCTCTACTAAGCTGCTCAAGGAACTAGCTGAATGGCAGGAAGGACTCCATTCATGAGACTATCAAGCCGGTGTCCAGGGAGCTGTCACAACAAGACGTGGGTGCCGTGTGAACTAGCTGGTACCTTAACTACCTAGGAATGTTAGCACACAGGGTGGAAACAAGGAAATCACTGGACCAAACCATCTTTACAGATTCTGACTTAGTTGCACTGCTCCAAATTAAGAAGAATGAGGCTATTTCCTTTTAAGTTGGAAATTTGTACTTGGGAGGCTGAGGCAGGAGGATCACTTGAGCCCAGAAGTTTAAGGCTGCAGTATGCTACAACCACGCCTGTTAACAGCCTCTGCACTCCAGCCTGGACAACATAGCGAGATCCTGTCTCTTAGAAAAAAACAAACTGGAAACTTGGTCCATGTGAAGCCTGTTAGTTCTACAAAAGCCAAAGATGAAAACTTCAGAAAAGCGAAATAAAAGTCTGTGTTCACGATTCTATGAAACACACAGCAAAAGTCTCCAAAGGCTGACAATACACCTAGGAAAAATAGAACAAGACTGTAGATTAAGAGCTGCTTCTGAATTCCTACAGTAACACAAGTCTTGCCTTCATTCAACAAGAAAATGTTCACAATTTACTATTTGCAAAGAGACGCCCTTTTCAATGTAAGTTGAAATGCTGATCCTCTGCTCTCCTGTACAGAAAACTTCTAAGAGAGTCTTGACACAGAAATGCAAATCTCCCCTCCTTCCTGAGATGTTAATTCCACATCTACCTCATGGATCAGTTAAGTATGAACATCATTAAGTACGATCTGGATTATATTTCTTCAGTCATTTAAATTTTTAAAATATTCTGAGTTAAACACACATGCTATTGCACAATTTCATTTTCAATGTACATATTATTAATAATGATGACAAACAGATCACATTCACAATGGCTTTTTCTTCCAAGGATCTCAAGGGATTTGGATAACTTGGGCCCCAAGGGACCTGGAGAATGGCAGCCTTCCCTGAGTGAGTCTCGTGGGAAATCTCTGGGGCTAAGGCAACAGTAACTTAAATCAGTGTCTTCCAAACTTTTCTGACCATGGTTCACAGCAAAAAATACATTTTTCATGATGACCTAGAACGCACATACAGATATGTATACCATGCACACAACTCTTAACAACAGTGTGAGGAATCTGTCTTTCCTGCATGCAGTGTACTTTGATGTTTTCTATTCTACTCTATTTCTTTCTTCTTCTTCTTATTGCTATTGTTACTGTTGTAGTGTCGGTGACAATCCACTAAATTGATATCATGACCTACTTACAGGTCACAACCACTGGTGTGCAAAACATTGCCTTCAGTGTCCACAGTTTTAGGACGCTGGCCTAGGCAGTCTTCTCGTCCTCCATGCTCTTCCTGGATTCACCGTCCTCTCTCCTGGCTCCACTGACTACCTGCACAAGAGGACTCCAGCCCAGATTCCACCTCAGGGCTCCAGAGCCATACATCCAATTGCTTACCAGATAGCCTCACTTGGACATCTCAAAAGCAACCTTAACATCATGTCTAAAAATGTTATTTTATCACGACCATCCCCTAGCCTTAGTACATGGGCCAACTCAGCTGTCTGAGCCAAAAACCTAGGAGTTATTCCTCCTCCCCTCCCTCCCACAGCTGATTCGTCACCAAGTCCTGCTTCTTGTAACTTCTAAATTACTTTAGAATTCTACTGCTTCTCCCCACCACCACCCCATTCTTGGTATCACTCCATGGGGCTACTGCCACAAGCCTTCAGGATTGCTCCCCTCCCATTCTACTCCACCCTGAAGCTAGAGTGATCTTTCAAAAATGCAAATCGAATTACACTGCGGACCTCCATGGAGTGCCAATATCCCCAGGATGGAGCTGCAGCTCCCCGAGAGGCTGGGCCTCCTTGCTGTTGCTCCAGCCCTGGCTCCTGCCACATTTCTCCTATTCTATGGTGGCATCTGGCTCTTGGGTCTGGCTGCACATGAGAACCACTGGGGCAACTTTTAAAAAATAAAAGTGCCCGGGACTCTATTCAAGACAATTCAATCAGAATCCAAGAAGCGACTGTCTGTGCAGCCCTGGCCCTGCCAAAGGCCTTTTCCTGTATCTCAGAAGCTGGTCCCCACATGCCACCCCTTCTGTGTCCTCAGCCCCAACACCACATTGGCCCTTCAGGTCTCAGTTTCATTTTCTCAAGGGCCGTATTCCTTAATTCCCCAGGCCTGGGAGGGCTCCTGTCCCATGTTCCCACAGAATCCTTAATTTCTCTTATCACAACCTAGTGGGTTCTACAACCTCCCAGCCTGGCCTACTGGCTTCAATAAATATCTACAATAGGAATATATTAACGTCAATTCTAATAACAGATATGACGAGAAGATACGGTTGAGGAAAGCTGACGGAAAACCACCACCACTGATGTGCAAGAGATAAACCCACATCGGAGGCATCCGTGCAGTTCTCCTTCTTTCTGTAGAGTGTGCAGCGGGGTGGCAAGCAGAAGCCATTTGGTGCCTAAATTCGGCCACATCTTCCCATGAAAGCCTTCCCCGAGGGACATGTCTCATCTCCATCTTCTTTCCAGTTCATTGCAGATGACGTGTGGGAAATTCAGTTGCCCCTGCCTCGACAAATGGGAAGACAAAGCTGCCTGTCCAGAATGATCAAGTAAACCAGGGAAGTTGGGTCGGACGTGGGCCACCCTGCTCTACCGTGTGCCGGCACCAGGATCTCCCTCCCAGCGGAGAGTTAAGAAGAGGAACACTGAACTTGTAGAGAAACGCTAAAGCTAATATTCCTGCAGCAACTCCTCAGGCACATTGCATGCTGTGCATATTAAGGTACCCATTAAAGTCTTGCTAGTAATTGAAAAAATTATCTATGTGCAATGAGAATGAGTTAATGCAACAGAGGAACCTTACTTTTGCATCTCCTGACTTTTTACTTTTAAAAGGTACCTGAACCTTGCGCTTCTGTGGGGTTCTTTACATTTCCTATGTAGGTGTAAAGTCATACTTGAGATATAATTCCATTCACCATGCAAGCAACTTCATAGTCTATTCTATTGCATCAACTTTTTCTATAAAAATAAATTGTTAAGGATATTATTCCTGGAACAGAATAAATTCTTGGAATCACTGAGTAACTTATGTAGCGTTCCACTGTTCCAAGAACACATCACTTATTTTATCATGATAATGTAAAGGTATTAATCTTTTGGCTTCCATTTCAACAATGAGAAATGCTGCGAGAGACACAGACACCTGCATTACATTTCAGCTCAAGTTTATATCATCCATAAACATCTCTGTTTTGGACACCTCAGCCAAACAAATGCTCGCAGAATACTCTATGTAGCATTCGATTTTATGGAACTATAAAAGTTCCTTGCTGTTAATTACAGAGACAAATGTCTCATCACACATTTGGTTACCAGATAGCAGTATAATTAGTTTTCTCCATTAACCTTTCAGATATAAAATTTGATTTCAAGTAAAAAACATTGTAAACCCCTTGGAATCTGAATAACAGTATATTTCTGCATGTTTGAAAAACATGCAATACCAAGAAAACAATTTTATAGATTCTTATTTACAAGGATATTGGTTGTATGGAATACTGAAAGAAAATGTCTCTCAACTTTGTAATGATTTGAAAACATATTATGAAATATGCGTGCAATAAGCTATCCTTTGTAGAGAAATGAGGCACAGTAACCTGACCCCCAGTGGAATGTGCCCTTTGACCTCTCTCTCCTAACTATGGTCACGCGGCCAAAATGTTCAGCACAGCCTCTCATCCGCTCCCCCTTCATCCTGGCATCTGTGAGACAATGGACGAGGGTGGTGTGTTCAGTTGATGGCAATGGAATAGTTTTTTTCCTGTTTAAAGTCAAATTGCCTTCAGGATGACTGATCCCACAACCCTGGCCTGCCAAGGACCATGCTGTAGCTTACATTCATAGAGAGTGCATTTGACGGACACAATGGTGTAGACGGGGTGCTATCAACAATGGTGTACGTTTACGCTGCCAACATGTGGAGAGTGGGATGAAGACCTCATGCGCCGCATGGGACAAGCCTGCACAAGGAAACGGCCTCATCTCAATCAATCGTCTCACTCTGATCTACTGATAACTGGAGGCACATTACCTTTTAACATGGTTTAACACGGAACTCATTCATTTATTCAAGAATAGTTATTAAGAGTCTACTCTGCACCAAGGAATACTACAGTAGGAATACAGCATTGGACACTCAGAGTCTTGCCCTGAAGGAATTCAAACTGAGACTGGAAGGATAAATAAAAGATCACGGAGGCAAAGGTAGTCGAGGTCACTCTAGGCAAAGAGGCCGGCAGAGCACATGCCAGGGCCCTGGTGTTGCAAGATTCCAGGGGTGCTGTCCCTTGTGCCATGTGAGTCTGCGAGGCCCGGGGTGGCGCGGAGGCTGGTGACACACAGGGGCACAGGAGTGCATCCTATTTCAGAGTTAGACTTTAAAGGAGGGAGACTGCTACCTATTAAAATAGAAAACAGGCTGGGCGCGGTGGCTCACGCTGGTAATTCCAGCAGTTTGGGAGGCCAAGGCAGGCAGATCGCTTGAAGTCGGGAGTTCAAGACCTGCCTGGCCAACATGGTGAAACCCCGTCTCCACTAAAAATACAAAAACTAGCCAGGCGTGGTGGCACGTGCCTATAGTCCCAGCTACTCGGGAGGCTGAGGCAGGAGAATCGCTTGAACCTGGCGGTGAAGGATGCAGTGAACCAAAATCGCGCCGCTGCACTCCAGCTTGGGTGACACAGCGAGACTCTAACTCAAAGGAAAAAAAAATTATTTAACAAATACTTATGATATTTCCTAGAATGTGCCAGACACTGTTCTGCAAACAAAAATGCAAAGAGATCAGGCTAGATGATAGCAGGATACATACAGGCTTTGAAGAGTTGATACCAAAGGAGGCTTTTGGATTTCCAGTGCCAAAGACCATTATATGTAAGTGTTTAAGTAAAAGACTGTATTTCTCAGTGTCCATTGAAGATTTTTGTGACCATACAAAAAATAAGTGTTGATTGGAATATCTGGTTATATTCTTTAAGAAGCAAGCAGAACAAATAAATTAAGCAAGCATTTGTTGCCCTATTAGGGTTTTCTGGTGGCTTTTTTTTTTTTTTTTTTGAGACAGGATCTCACTTGTCGCCCAGGCTGGAGTGCAATGGTGCTATCTCAGCTCGCTGCAACTCCCACCCACTGGGCTCAACTGATCCTCCCACCTCAGCCTCCTGAGTAGTTGGGACTATGCAGCATGACACCTGGCTAATTTTTGTATTTTTTTGTAGAATTTTTTTTTTTGCAGAAGAGTGGTAAGCATGTCAATGAGGTGAGGAAGTGCACAGCCTAAAACATAAGGAAGGAGAGCTGCTGCAGGAATGAAAAGTGGTCTGGTATGGCTGCTGCACATGGAGGCAAGAGGGGAGTGTCAGGAATCAGCTCGAAGAAGTAGACGGAGGCAGTTCATGCAGGGTCTCAGCTGTCATGCTAGGGAGTTTGGGTACACTTAGATGATAAAGAATTTCAAGCATCACACCTATAATCCCAGCACTGTGGGAGGCCAAGGCTGGAGGATTGCTTGAGGCCAGCAGTTCAAGACCAGCTGGGGCAACAGAGGGAGACGCTGTCTCTACAAAAAATAAAAAAATTAGCTGGGCATGGTGGTGCATGCCTGAAGTCCCAGCTACTTGGGAGGCTGAGTACCTTGAGCCCAGGAGTTGGAAGCTTTAGTAAGCTATGATCACACCACTGCACTCCAGCCAGGGCAACAGAGCGAGAGCCTGTCTCTGAAAAATGGAAAAGAATTTCAGGCAGAGGGGCAGCCCAAGTTGCACACGATACTCTCAGGAGCCGAAAGGCACCGTGTGGATCGCAATGGCTGCAGGTTCAGGTTTCTGCCCTTCGCCAGCCCCGCTCCCCTGCTACTGCTGAGGCACTGCTGTCCAGGTCACTTTCTCTCCGATAATCTGCTAGTTATAAGGATAACAGACTTCCCGCGCCAACATCCCAGGTCTATTTTTAACTATGAGATGCAAAACACACTGGTTCAAAATCCTTATTTCACTGTATAGATGGCCATATGATTTTCCTCAGAAAACAAAATCACAGGGAGGCTGAATTGTCAACACGTTTCCTTAGATTCTATCCTTCATGAATTTATTATTTTTTTTCAATGATTTGGTCATGACCAGTGTAAGAAAAGTAAAAGACCACAATATATCACACTTTTCATTTATAGGGCAGTTGCTGAACCACAATGAGCCTTCCTGAGAAACAGAAAGAGGTGGCTTTTCCCCAGGACAGCTGCTGCCCCCATGCGGGCCGTGGCGAGCAGGCTGCAGGCTGCATGTCAGCCCCACTGGCCCCTCACAGGGCCCCCTTGGGCAGGTACAACTTCGGTGGCTGTGTGCAGGGGCCCAACTCCCTCAGAAACCCGACAGGCACTAAGGTTTGTTGGTGTGATCTTTAATACATGGCTTTATGTCCTTAAATTAAGGTAGAAAAGCTTGCTTCATGTGAAATCTGAGAAGTCAACAATGTCAACATCAGTTTACAGATGGGCCAGCGCTATCTTAAGCACCTTTCTAAAGCTGTACCTGTGTTAGAGCAGAATAAGGAACAAGCAGAACAAATGTGATTTTCCAATTTTGGTTTCCAACATGTCACTGGCTTTCATATGTGAGTTCTCCTTTTCGGTGTCTTCTGGATTTGAAAAAAGAAGTTGTATCTCACAAATCAACATCAGAAATCCCAAATTTCTACTCTAGTATGTTACAGAAGCTTAAAGTTAAATGAGGCATCTTTTAGTTTGGCTCACTAAATGTCTCTAAAATCTCAATATAGCAGTATACTTTACAATAAATCTTCAGAGTCCTAACGACAGTGTCCAATATATTCATGCATTTAAATCACATATCTGAGGACCTATCAGCAGAGTACCTATTACGGATACAGCATTGTGCTAGGTTCTCAAAGGATCCAAAATGAACTCAGGTCACATTTGCCCTCTAGGATCTGACAATTTACATTAGGAGCGATTAGGAGAGTCCTGAAAATAAACAACCACATTTCAATGTGGCAGCTGTTAAGTTTCGGAGGAGGATCTGCAGGGTGACTTGAGCACAATAAAGCCACACACAAAAATAAGTAAATATTAGGCATCACATGGTAAGTGCCAGAAAAGAGTAATGTTATTACTTAGTGCCCAAGTGATCGGAAGAATAGATAACTCCTAGGCTGGGCACGGTGGCTCACGCCTGTAATCCCAGCACTTTGGGAGGCTGAGGCAGGTGGATCACGAGGTCAGGAGATCGAGACCATCCTGGCTAACATGGTGAAACCCCGTCTCTACTAAAAAAAATACAAAAAAATTAGCCGGGTGTGGTGGCGGGCACCTGTAGTCCCAGCTACTCGGGAGGCTGAGGCAGGAGAATGGCGTGAACCCGGGAGGTGGAGCTTGCAGTGAGCCGAGATGGCGCCACTGCACTCCAGCCTGGGCAACAGAGCGAGACTCCGTCTCAAAAAAAAGAAAGAAAAAAAAAAAGAAAAGATAACTCCTAAATCTGGGAGAAGGAGAGAGAATGGGGTAATAAAAACAGAAATACAGTGTTTTCCAGTTTGAAAAAGCGTTTTACCATACAGGATTTCGCATGTGCGTCAGGAGGGCCAACGTTATTCTTCTATTACAGAAGATGAGGAAAACCCCTCAAGAGTGTTATCCAAGGTGTTAGAACTGGAGCCTGAGATTCAAAGCAAGGTTTTCTGACTCTAAATCCAACTTCTCTCTGCTACGCTATGTAAACTGAGGCGGCTTACAGGCCAAGGTAATATTTGAATTGAGCTTTAAAAACCGATAGGAGAGACAGGATTTTACTAGAAGGAGTTTGGAAATGGGGTAAGGAATGGTAGGAGGCTAGGATGGAGAAGGAGCCGCAGTGAAATGGCAGAGATGAGAATGGGAAGGTGCTTTAGGAGGGAATGATGTGATCAGTTTGACACAGCACATGTTTTCAGTGAGGGTGAAGAGCAAGAGAAGGCTGGAAGGGCGGTTTAGAAACAGACAGCGAACTGAAAGAGAGAGGAGAGCGGGGCCTCACTCCTCCAAGGCAGCATGGTACAGTGGAAAGATCGTGGCCAGGCCATGTCCAAATTCCAGATCCAGGCTCTTGTCTCCTAGTTCTATGACCTTACGTACATTAACAATTCTAAAGGCCCATTTTTCTCATATAAAAGTAGAAATGACAATACCTTCTCAGAGCTGGTCTCAGTGTTAAATGAGATAAAGTTCGGAAGTGCCCAGCACACACCGGAGGCAGTAAACAAGCCCTAGCTCCTTTCTTCCCAGCAGGAGGGGCTTTCCCAGGCCATAGCTCCTGCCCACCCCATTCCTTCTCCCTGTGGTGCCTCCTCTGCACCTGGAAGTCCTGGTTTAGGAAGCCGGTTGGCTCAAGGGAAGGCGGTTACATGAAAGCTGTGGACAGGGAGATGGGTCGGGTCAGACCGTGCATACTAGACACTCAGTGAAGGGCTTTGCCTTGATTCTAGGCCCATGACAAGGGAGCTGAAGTCTCTAAGCAGGAGAGAGGGTGAGAAGTTACGTACTGAGATCAGCCCACGTGGGCAGATTGGAGCAAGGAGCTGTGGCAGCTCTGACAAGGTGAAGAACTCAGAAGTGGATGTCAGGAGACCCCACTGGAAAGTGTGGTCAGCTACTAATGACCATGTAGCCTTGGGCAAATCACTTTCATCCCTGAGTTGAGGTTCCCATTTGTAAAACATGAGGCCGACCCAACAGCAACCTCACAGTGTAGCTGCAATAGAAACTAAATGAGAGATGGAGTGCCCGGATGGCCTAACTACAAATGCCTCCCAGACTTTAGGCAACAAGTCATACGTGAGAACGACCAAGTTCTGCATCCACAGCTACCGAAACATATGTTTATGTGCACATAAATTGAAAGAAGCCATCGGTATTTAAGTTCCCTCAAGAGGCTCTCCAAACTTTGACTTTGCTTGCAATTATTTTTGAAGCCATTTTTCGGTCCTAGAGTATAATCGGACAAATCAGGTGCTGTATGAAGCCTTGGGAACTGTCTAGACCAGGAGTTTTAAAACAGTGACTGGGGGCGCCCTAACATTCTGCAGAGGCCCACAGAGGAATGTGAAATGCACGTAAGGCTCTCTGGGTCTCCTCGACCTTTTTTCAAGCAGCTCTGCTCCCCTTTGATCTGCTGGACATACTGGGGGTTCCGCTTGGGAGCACGTTTGAACAAAGCCTGCCATGCGGTTAAGGGCTTGCTTTGGAGACAGGCAGACCCTGGCTTGCATCCTGGCTCTGGCACTGAGTAACTCTGTGAACTCCTCAAATTCTTCATCCATAAAGAGGGAAAAACAACACGTTTCTTGGGACAATTAATGGGATAACATTTACAAAGTCCTTTACATAGTGCTGGCACACAGCAAGCTCTGGGTAAATAACACTATTACTGGCCACGTACCTAACCCCAAGAGACACTCCTGGTCATCTGTCCCATTCATTCCACCACCAAAAAAGGAGAGGACTTACAAGAAGGAGCACAGGGACACAAGGACACAGTGGGGCCAGGGTGCTGAAGGTGGAGCTTTTGTGGGGAGGAACAGAGGGGAAGCACTTGCTTCCACATACTGGGATTTTGGGGTTCCACTTTTCCCCCTTGGCCCTTCATTTCCTCTGAGGTTGCAACTCCTGCCCCAGGTATGGTGACACACTAGACCCTTCTTCCTCTTGGAAGTGGGGCTCAGCTCCCAAGCCTTTTGAAACCAACCAAGAACCAGGGTGGGACCCAGGCCACCTGACTCCAGGTGAAGACCTCCTCCATTTTACAGACGGACCTGCCGAGTCCTCCAGGGAGGAGAACGATGTCGTGGCTGGGAGATAACTCTCTAACTTGTAAAAGTGCAGAGGAATTGTTCGAGTGTGTCCTCTTTGGGGAGATTCTGGGGACTCTAGTGGGTGCAGCTGTCATCAAGAAAGCCACTGAAAAGAGACTTCAGAGTTTCAGAGATGTCGACCCTGCTCAGCTGGCATGGCTGCCACACTGTGTGCTTCATCTATGGGAAGCTGAATAACTGAACTGAATATTAAAAAGAATAACTAGAACAGGGCTTGGCATGGATGTAAATGGAGCGCAATGAATTTGTTGAATGAATAAATGAATGAGACTGAACACCTGACAGATAAACATGTTTCCAATGTACATACTATGATAAATCTAACCCAAAATCCAATGTGTGAAAAGAGACTTCATTTTATATTTGCATTACTGCTATGAATAATAAATTAATTGTCTCATTAAAATCCTTCTAAAAGTGCCCTGCTAGCAGCTAAGGCCTCCTCCATGAGCCTTGGCTTTGCCTGGCTCCACAGGGCAGAGGGGAAAGATCTTTTGAGAGGAGGCCTGGGTTTACTCCGGCCTCTGCTATTCGTGAGGTCAGGTAACTGAGCTTCGGTTCCCATCATTATAGGAATCATTATATCTGCCCTGACTACCCCACAGGTATATGGTAAAAATCCCGAGAAGACAGATGTGAAAGCACTTTCTAAACCATAAGTGCAACACTCATGGTCGAGCTATAATGATGCTTATTGGCGGCTCCCTCACCCTTCCCACCTGGAATCTTCTCCAGGGAGGAGAAATACAGGAGCGAATCTTTCCTGTAGTTCAACATCTCTGCTTTGCAGAGCCCTCCCCTCTACCCCTTCCAACTCTGCATTTGCTGTTGCCCTGATCATTCACATTTGTCATTTAATTACCGTTCACAGACAGGCGGTTAAGTGGAGTGTTCAAAGCTCAGACAGACCTGCACTGGAACCCTACCTGTGGCACTTCCTACTTGAGAGACCTTGGGCAGGTCACCTCGACATCTCTAGGCTCATCTACAAAATGGGGATGACGGTAACTCATACAGACATGCTGCAAAGAGCAAATCAGGTCTTTCATGTAAAGTGCTCAGTGTGCTGCCTTGCACACAGTTAAGTGCTCAAACAACTGTAGCTCTTACGATTGCTGAATACTGCTCCGTTTCCTGAATTTGTCCTGTCTCCTCCCCAGCTGGATCTGAATCCCTGAGAACAAGGTCCCTGTCCTATCCATTTCTGTGACTATCTCTGACCCCACTCCCATTCCAGAAAAGTGCTGAGTTCAGAGTATCTTCTATAAAGACACTGGCTGAACTGATTTAAGAGAACTGTTTCCTTTCAAACAGTGCTTAAATCTTCACTGTAGTCCCATCACAGCCAGCTTGAGAAAGTCAATGTCCACAGGGTAAAGTAACGTCTTCTGACCCTATTATCCAATTAAAAATATGTGAGTAATTCCTAAAGCACGAGGCCAAGCCATTTACACTACTGAGCTACCCTACCATGTGAGATACACTACGTTCGTTAACAGCCTAAACATGTTCCAGAGAGGTAGACTTGATGTGGGAACCTCTGCCACATTCTAGAAGACTCTTTTTCACCTAGAACATAAACTTTGATCTTATAGATGCAGATACTATTAAAGGGAACACATATGTTTGAATGTAGAAAATCCTATAGACCATCCCTGGGACAGTGTGTCAGTACTTTGTTATAGGGGAAAGAGTTCTAGTATTTTGGTACCAAACCCCCTTGGATGTCATAAGCTTCCCATATAATTCTACATCTTTATGGACAGGCTTTAGCAATTTATAAAATAAACATAATTGAAATCTTTATGTTTTGAAAAGTGTAACTATAAAACTATAAACTATAACACTGTCAACAAAAAATTCCTACTCTCAGATGCCATCAGTAACTATTCTCAATTGCTCCAGAAATCATGTTGCTGTGACAATTTCTGTTATTTTTTCTTAACTGACCTAGAGATCACAAAATAAAAATGTTATTTGGGAACCAACTACATGATGACCCAAGAATGAGCAAAAGATTGAAAATAACCCACAGCACACTCCCAGGCTGTTCAATCTTTTGTCTCTTGATGTTGAAGGCCTTCTGGAGCAACCACTTTGAAAGCGTATCTATCTCAAGCCTGGTCCTTCATTGGAATTCTTGCATCTTCCTCAACTTGGACTAGGAAGAAGAAAAGCA
Source organism: Homo sapiens (assembly GCF_000001405.40). Classification (NCBI taxonomy): domain Eukaryota; kingdom Metazoa; phylum Chordata; class Mammalia; order Primates; family Hominidae; genus Homo; species Homo sapiens. Next base: position 13,524,066 of record NC_000010.11, read on the forward strand.
ACAACGTCTATCATCTCTGGGAGTTTCCAGCTTACTGAATCCTGGGCACTAGCATCCTGTTGCTCTTCAGCTTCCCCTCTCTTATCCTTACAATTCACTTCCTTCGTAGTGACCTTACCACTTTTCTAGTAGTACACAACAGAAAGTGCGGGAAAGCCTGCCTTGCTGGAGAACTAAATCAAGGACATGATGTTCCCTTTGTATGGTGAACGTAAATTTTCTACTAAAGGGTAAATTCGTTATTTCGAATGGCTATATAGAGTGGTACTTTGATAATACAAAATTCCAGCTGACCAACCAGGCACGGTGGCTCACGCCTGTAATCCCAGCACTTTGGGAGGCTGAGGCAGGTGGATCACCTGAGGTCAGGAGTTTGAGACCAGCCTGGCCAACATGGTAAAACTCTGTCTCTACTAAAAATACAAAAAATTAGCCAAGCGTGGTGGCAGGTGCTTGTAATCCCAGCTACTCAGGAGGCTGAGGCAGGAGAATCGCCTGAACCTGGGAGGCAGGGGTTGCAGTGAGCCGAGATCATGCCATTGCACTCCAGCCTGGATAAAAAGAGTGAACCTCCGTCTCAAAAAAAAAAAAAAAAAAAAAAGAATTCCAACTGACCAAGTTTAGGGGACTGGAAAGACTAGAATCCAAGAATATTCTCTTTCTGGGCCACAGCATTTCACTTGATTATTAACCTTTTGGCTCCTAGCTCTCTTAACAGTAAACAGGTACTGGGAGCAGTGCTGGCCCCAGTGATATTCTTTCCCTCAGCAGAAAGATCTATGTGCTATCAATGATCGCTCATGTAAGAAATGCTGACATTTCCCTCCTATTTTTCCTCTTAAAGTATATATTAATATTTGACTTCTTCCCAATGCATCCCGACCCACCCTTTCTATCCCTCAAAGCAAAACCAGAGAGATCCTGGCGAGAGCTTCGTTTGAAGGCTGACCCACACCGGGTCTGAGCAGCAGTCCTGCTACCTGAAGTCCCCCTTGATGGGGTAATTGTGGCTTTGCTTGTAATCGTTCTCGCTCTGACCTCTCTCATGTTCTGCTTCCTTGCTGTGCAGTGCTGTGCCCTCACCCTGCTACCTGGGATTGCAGAGGTCCAAGATGGACAAGGTTGAGGCCCAACGCCACCATCTACTCTCCACCCTGACCTTATGGGTACTTCACTCTTAGAGGCAAAATCTTACGTGGTTTCATTTTTGGCTGATTGTGTGCAAATAAAAAACTGCACATCCAAAGTCTTTCCTGTACAGTATTTGCACCAACACTGCACATGGAAAAGGTGGCAATGTTTGTGGCTACCTACCCACCCATCATGCAGCTACACTTGCTGGAAAGTCTCAGAAATGCTGTTTTAGCTCTGCTCATCCCTGACGTGAGCTGGGAACAAGGATGGTAAGAGGAAAGCATGCTGTTCCCCCTGTCCCAAAATGCTGGTGTGAAAGGAGCACAAAGTCAGGAAAATGAGGAGCTGCTTGATGATAACTAGCACTATCAAGAGCTGGTTAGGCAGACAGTCACACTTTTATTTTCCTTATGCTTTTTGACTGTAGATTTAATTTAATTTTGTCATGGCAGGATTAGCAACTGGGCCACAGAGGTGAAGGGACATTATAAGACAGCACATTAATCCTCTATCCCACCCAAGGCAGAAGCAAAACCAAACAAATAGCAGCTTCCTGGAAATTGAATTTCTGTTATCCAGATGTCAAAGATGTAATACCCCAATTACACAAACTATTGCCAGTGAAGCATGCCAACGAATATGCAATGTAAATGGGGTGAGCGCAGAGCCACAAAACTGCACAGTCAGCATCTGGCTCTGTGAGTGAGTGATAATTAGCACTGTGTGTAGACACTAATAAACATTTATGTCTGAAATTACAACTTTTAGCAATGTTAATAAGGGATATATTGGCAATCTGTAAAATAAAAGGTCTTGAAAAGAATGTCATACATTAAGCAATGGCAGACATTTCCCGTTCCTGAACAATTTCCTTTTTTCCCCCTAATTGCAAATGGTCACGATGTTTTGCTGAGGTATTAATTGACATAGGAACCTACCTAAAAAAATGGGCTGTGTCTCTTTGGCCTCCCCATTAACATCGTTGCTGAATTCTGGGATCTTATACACCTCGTGGTGATAATCTGGCATGAGAAAACAACCAAAAATTAGAATCCTAAGGACCTCAAGATAGGAATAAGCAGTCAAGTCTAGAATCTCATTCTATTTAGTTTGTATACTCTATAATTTATAAATAAACTTTTTGAGAACTGAAATAATCACAGAATTTGTAGTCAATAATAATTCCTAAAACTTTGCTTATTCTGGAGTACGCAAACTTGAAAGATTACTTTGGCTTTAGAAGACAGCTTTGCTTGATCACACCATGTTCACGGTAAATTGTACCCACAGATGCCAATTTTTAGGCTTTTTTTCTTTGAGGTGGCAAGTATGTTTGCCCAATCATAGAGCAGGGGAGGTTTCCAAATTTCTCTTCACAACCCATTTTCACCAGCATATCAACAGTATGCTTTAAAGTTTAGCCAGCACTCTAGTTTTCTCAGTTTACCCAGAAAATCTCAGCCTTTAAGCAGCTTAAAGGCAAGCACACATGAAAAATACTGATTTGTTATTTCAAATGTAGTATGATTTGGATAAGAAAGCAAGATTTTCATCTTTCACACAAGTGACTCTTTCGCATTCAGCTACTGCACTTTATTTAATATGCAAGTTTATTTTCTAAAACTGCACCTGCAGAGAAAGAGAAGAATCAGACCTATAATTAAAAGAAAAAGAAAAAAGGAAAAAGGAAAAACTTGCTACGTCAGTCAAAGTTTCAAATACAGTATTTTACAAGCTTCTCTATGGAGGCTACTGCATTTTTGCTTCTATTTTTGAAAAGCAGGGTCACTAAGGCATGAAAATAGAGGTTCCTCCTTAACACCTAGTCCCCTTTCTCTGGCCTTAGACCTCACAGGACAAAGTCAACAAAACTACTCTCACTTTTAAGATAAAGCAGTTAAGTTCTCTGAGGTCATCAATAAGAAAGCAGCTTACATTCCTGAATGAATCAGATAGCACCAACAGGGCAATCACCCAGACAGAGACTTTTAAAAGTCCAAGTAACTGAGTAATCAACACGGATGTGGAAAAAAAAATTTACTCAGAAAGTGGGAAGAGCCAAGTATTTTGAATGCGTGAAACTATTTCAGGCCTCTTTCATTAAACAGTATCCAAACTAAATTAGGGGAGGCAGATAAGAATGGATCTTCAAAATGCCTATAATCAAAGCATTTTCAGATGAACCAAATCCACATCTTAGCTAGCTTAGCTCAGTTTGAAAAATTCGATTACTTGCAATTGTCCACGATTTTTTCACTAATTTTCATCAGTTTACACGTGACTTCTGCAGGTTGTTGGAGTTTCTACCCTGATGCCAATGCTAGAGAAAACGACAGAGGAAAAGTGGACAGGTTGGGGTTTGGCTTTGACCTCAACTTGATTAAAAGACGACATTTAAACAGAGCGGGTCTAAACTCAATATGAGGACTTGTGACATTACAATGAAAAAAGTCACCTGCCCCTAATTAAAGATGACAATGCATTTTGAGATATATTTTCACGATGGCTCTTGAGTTATCATTTTTTTAAAAAAAAAAGTCAAATCAGGAAGATAAAGACTCTTAACAAGTAACTGAACACAGACAAGACTGTATTCCACTTTCCCCTCCCTGACAAAATACAAACCCTAGAGTGTGGTGTACACCTGTTAATTCGTCAGAAACTAGATGGATTTCTTTTCTTTCTTTTCTTTTTTCTTTTTTTTAAAGGATGCTTATCTGACTGCTATATGATCTAGTCTAAAACACCTTTCCAACCCAAATCAGCTAGCTAGAGATGTTGGATGTCAACAATTCCGCCTTGGGCTTGGACACGGCGTGAGCTTCTTTCTCCTTCTTAAAAAGAACAACAACGGTCATCCTTTTTCCTCCTTCTCTTGGCGGGGGGAAGGGGGAAGACCCCAGAAAACAAAAACAGCAAATCTCAGGTCCGAGGGTCCACGCTCGGCCTGATGGCCAGGCAGGTCCGCGGCCGCCCCAGCCCTGCCCCGGAGGCGCCCCGAGGAGGGCTCGGGCCCCCCGGTGTCATTGTTTGCTAATTTCCTGAGCTGCCCTCCGACTTGTTTACGTTAAATAACATCCCTGCTCCCCCCGCACAACTTTCCCCGCCGCCCGGCGTGTGCGGCCGCGGCCCTGCCTGCCAGCCCGGCGGAGGCACCGGGGGACCGGGAAGGACCGGGGGCTCCGGGAGGGCGCGCCCCCCAGCGTGGACCCCCGCGGGCGGCCGAGGGCGCGGCGCCCGCTGCCTGCCCCCGCCGCCCCGGCGGCCGCTTACCTCGGCTCACCAGTTTGAAGCTCTGGGATTTCCTGCTTCTTTTCCTCTCGGAGAACTCCATGGTGCGGGGAAGGCGGCGGCGGGGGCTGAGGAGGCGGCGGCAGCGGCGGCAGCGGCAGCGGCGGCAGCGGCAGCGGCGGCGCGGGCTCGTGTCACCGCGGCGGAGCCGCCGGGACCAAGGTCCGCGCCTGGAGTCGGCGAGGGGAGGCCGCGGGACGGGAGGAACCACCGCGAGCCGGCTCGGGGCTGCAGGCGCGGGGCCCGGCGGCGTGGGCTCCCGGGCGAAGTTGCCCCCGCGCGGCGCCGCCTCCCGGTGCCCTAGGCGCCCCCGCGGCCCCCGCTCATGCCGGCCCGCGGGTTCCAGACGCCGCCCGCCGCAGCCCAACTTTCCGTTGGGAGCGGGCCGGGCCGGGGCGCGGCGGCGGCGGCGGAGGCGGGGGGCGGCTCGGGGCGGCCGGCCCGCCTGGGCTCAGCCTGCGGTCGCGGCGGCGGCGGCGGCGGCCCCGAAGACGCGGCGGGCGGGCTGCGGGGAGGGCGGCGGCGGGTGCAGAGCCGGCCGGGGCGCTGACCGCCCCCGCGGGAGGAGGGGCGCCGGCGGAGGGGGCGGTGCCGCTGGGACCCCAGGGCCACCTGCTGGCGGAGCCCGGCCGCCGCCATCCCCGGGGGCCGCCGCCGGCCTGGCCGCGCGGCGCCCCGAGGAGGCGCGGAGGCCGCGGCGCAGCGCCCTGGCCCGGGCCCGGCCGGCCTGCCTGCCCCCGGGGACGACGCCGCCGCCCGGGCCTCCGCTCGCAGACCCCGCTCGCTGGCCTCCCTCCGCCGCTTGCTGGGCCGAGCTAACTCCGTGCACCTCGCCGTGGGGGCGCGGACCGCCCCGACAACCACCTCCCCGCCCTCACATCCCGGGCGCCCCGGGGCCCGACGCGCTGATTTTAAGCAAGTTTTAGGGGGAAAAAACTTACCCATTTGCGCTCTCTCTAGAAGGACAGAGAGGAGGTTTTAGAATATTGTGGAGAAGAATATAGTAGAGAGCTCCCATTCCCTAACCCAGGCTGGGCGGATTGTGGAAAGAGCCGAGTCACATTCAAGGAGAGCACTTGGAATGGGGGGCTTGGTGGCCCTGGGGACTCTCAGGAGGCCATGGTCAAGGCAGGTGCAGGGCACTATGCTTCTCCACGTCATATGTCGGAATCATGGACCCAAACACAAAGCGCTTAGTAGTTATGTGTAATATTCTTTTCGGGGGATCAGAGAGCGCACTTCAGGCACCATTTCTTTCTCACATCTTTCGAGTGGGCCAGGAAAAGAATTTCACACTACCTGGGAATGGTAGGACAGGAACATGACGGGACATGCGTGAAAGTATCTGCCAAACCCAACCAGGAAGAGGGTAAAGAGTCGGGGGATGGGGGGGCTACCTCTCCGGCACGGGACAAAGGCCAGTGGCCCCAAAAGAGTAGAGAGGAAAAAGGGGAGGTTGACAAATGTGATGAGTGTCACGTGGGTCTCACCCAAATGAGGCAGCCGCTGAGGAACCGCTCTTATTTCAGGGACACAGAGTAGGACAACTGCCGAGGAAGGGGGACATTGAGGCAGCTTGCAGAAACACACATGGAGAAACAGAACCAAAGAGCAGGGTAACCAGCAAACCAGGCAGTGGAGGCAGGGATGGGTACCCATCCCGAGATCTTGGGTGATACCAAAGGCGGCACATCCGGAAGGCTGGTTATACCTAGCGTGGAGGGGAGAGGGAGAACTGTTTCTTCCGTTCAATAAAGCAAACCCTTCAACAAGAGGTTCTTAACCTTTTTTAGTCACTGTTTCCTTTGAGATTGTGTTCAAAGCTCAAGGGCCCTTTTTCCCAGAAAATATGTATGGGACATATAAAATTTAGTATAGATTTATTGGAGTTCTTAGACGCGCTTTGCTGCTCTCAGAAAATTAGTGGTAACAGTGATTAAAGCAACTACCCTATTTGGGTTTCTTCCTTCCCTGCCACCCCTTTCTTTAAAATCAGGCATTAAAATCTGAAGATGTTTTGGATTTTTTTTTATTTTTTATTTTTTGAGACAGAGTCTCATTCTGTCGCCCAGGATGGAGTGCAGTGGTGCGATCTCAGCTTACTGCAACCTCCACCTCCCGGGTTCAAGCGATTTTCCTGCCTCAGCCTCCCAAGTAGCTAGGATTACAGGCATGGGCCACCACGCCCAGCTAATTTTTTGTATTTTAGTAGAGATGGGGTTTCGCCATGTTGGCCAGGCTGGTTTCAAACTCCTGACCTCAAGTGATCAGCCCGCCTAGGCCTCCCAAAGTGCTGGGATTACAGGCGTGAACCACCACGTCCGGCTGTTTTGGATGTTTTTAAAGAAACAAAGCATGCAATTTTGTTCCCCAGGCTGGGATCCATTCTTTCTTTATGTAATGCCTTTTAAAATGTTATTCTCAAAGCCGTAAGGCTAAGTTCTACACTGACTGAGGAACTTCCCGGATCGTTCATGCTTTGGAGCATATAATGAGATTTTATTATGCTTAAACTATGACGAACCCAGTGAAGGTGTCATCCCAAGAAGTAAATCCCTGGAGAAGGTATTAACAACTTAGCATTTTCAGTTCAAGTGGGAATGCAAATTCCATTTACTGAAGAGAATATTTTTGATATAGTTAAGAATAAAATATTTGAGTAAGAATATTTTTAAATAGTAGTCATTTCTCCTTGACCCTTTTTAACCTGGCTTTCCAAAGTTGGTCTATGAGTGAGTTGGCCTGCAGAGGACACAGGCTACGCTTGTCTTATTAGCTTTTAGAGAAAATAAATGTCTGTTTACTCTGCATTTTGTGCAAATCACTATGCTCTTATCTAACAAAAATGTATATATCACATTTAGTATTAAAATTAATAATAATGTTTAATTAAAATGAGGTTGCTTGGGGCCAGGTGTAGTGGCTCACACCTGTAATCCCAACATTTTGGGATACAGAAGGATTGCTTAAGGCCAGAAATTCAAGACCAACCTGGATAACATCCTGAGACCCGGTCTCTACCAAAAAATTAAAATATAAAATAAAACATAAAGTGAGATTGCTTTAAGTAGCAGGTATCCATATAGTAGCTGATCCTTATCCTTGGGGAGTATGTCCAAGACCTTCAGTGGATGTCTGAACCTGAGGATAGTACCGAACCCCGTATATACTATGTTACCATCAAACCCCATATATACCGTGTTTTTTATTGTTTTATGTTTTCTAATAACCAAGCCAACAAGTGACTAACGAGCAGATAGTGCAGACAATGTGAATACGCTAGGCTAAAGAATGATTCCTATTCTGGGCCGGAAGGAGCAGGTTGGCTAAAGATTTCATCATGCCACTCAAAATGGGGCACAATTTTAAATTGATGCATTGTTTATTTCTGGAAGTTTCCATTCAATATTTGCAGGCCATAGGTGACTGCAGGTAACTGAAATCATGGATAAAGGGGGACTACTGTATTAGCCTGTTCGGGCTATCTTAACAAATACCACATACTGGGTGACTTAACAGCAGCTTATTTTCTTACCATTCTAAAGGCTGCAAGTTTCAGATCTAGGTCTGGCAGGGTCAGTTTCTGGCGAGGGCCCTTTTCTTAGCTTGCACACCACTACACTTACATGGCATAGGAAGAGAGCTGTCTTTCTCTCCCTCTTCTTGTAAGGCCACCAATCTTATCAAATTAGGGCTCCGCCTTTATGATCTCTTTTAACCTTAATTACCTTCTATTAAAGGTTCAATCTCCAGATACAGTCACGTTAGGAGTCAGGGATTCAACATATGAGTTTGTGGGGGACACAAATCAGTCTGTAGCCATCTTGTTTTCACTCAAATATAATGTCTGTATTGAGGGGTCCTGGAAAGTTTTCTAGGGGATCTACTGAAGTCATTTCTTTACCCCATTCTTTCCAATTTTAGTATATGTGCTGCCGAAGCTAGCACTCTTTGCCTCATTCTTAAAGGCCCCCTAAAGTTCCAGAACCACAGGTTTATGTGTTACTGGAGATCAGAGATAATTGGTCAAATATTCAATGACATCACGCAGGGCAAACATTTTATTATATGGCCATGCTTAAACCCACTTGATTATAAAGATTACATGTTGGTTTCAATCTTTGACAAAGCCAGATAATTTGGCCAGAAAACCTGAAGTAACCTTACCGCTAATACTTGAAATGCTCTTCCTGAAAACTGTCCTGAGAGGAATAGCATTATGAAAAGTTTCATCTTTATTTAGAGCTCTGCTGTCGAATAGAAATACAATGCAAGCTATGTATGTAATTTAAAATGTCCTATTAGCCACACTGAAAAAAGTAAAAATAAACAGATGAAATTCATTTTAATAATTTATCTTATTTAACTGAATACATTAAAATATTATCATTTTGACACATAATATGAGAATATTATTATTGAGATAGTTTATATGCTTTTTGTTATACAAAGTTTTGAAATTGGTATGCATCTTACCCTTAGATTACAAATCAATTCAAACTAGCCAAATTTCAAATTGTCCATAGTCACATGTAGTTACAGGTGACCATACTGGGCAGCTCAGATTTAGAAGGAATGTATGATTTGAACCATGCTATGTACGTAGATGTAGTATGTCTACAACTTGATTACTGTTTAACTGTTTTATTAATACACCTCAGAAAGAAGATGAGCAGAATGGAATTATTGGGCTTCAGGCTTTTTATAATCTTTGATTGGATTTTCTGGAATTGAATATCCTGTCATTAAATAGATTCTGGGAATCCTTCAGGAAGATTTAATATGTATAAATATCCACTTTTCAACATTAGGACAATCACCCATCAGACGGTCATGGAAGGAATAGATGCCCTCCTTTTAGCTGCCGTTTCCCAAGTGTTGCTGGCCTAATGCAGTTTCTACACCCGTTTACTTCATTGGTTTTGGTGATTGTAATTTAAGAGAAAGGAGGCAGTATTTATAAGATATTTCATAAGTGAAAATGAGAGTTGGAATGTTCCACAAATAATATTACCTTATATTTTATATGGGGCTTCTTTTACAGCTCAAGCATAGGTATGCATTATCTAACTCTTAATAGTTCTATGAGATTGGTATATATTAATATTCCAATTTTGCAAATGAGAAAAATCCATTCTGAAGACCATTTTTTAGTGAAATTAGAATGGTCTGCTGTTTCCTGACTCTTAAATATGATGCATGAACCTTATTTTTTTTTACTTGGTTCTTTAAAATACTTTTTTTTTGTTCTTTTTAAGATCTACCTTATATATGATAAGGAACACAAACCTTCAGTGGATATCTCAATTAATTTGTTTTACTTATATATACATCCATGTATCCCCCACCCTGATGAAGATTTAGAACTTTTCCAGCACACCAGTAGGCTTCCCTGAGGCCCCTCAAAGTAGATAGCCCCCCAAGGAAACCACACTTCTAACCTCTATCACAATAGCTTGGGTTTGCCTGCTCTTAAACCTCATATAAGTGGTGTCATAGAGTGTGTGCTATTTTTTGTCTGACTTCTTTTGCTTAATGTTATGCCTGTGAGATTCATTCATGACATTGGCTATAGCAGTAGTTCATCACTTTTCATTGCTGTACATTATTTCATTATAAGAATGTAGCACAATTTTTAATTTACTGTCGATGGATATTCTTGTACATTTTTGTTCATGTCTTTTGGTGCACATAAGCACACTTTATCTCACATATATCCATGAGTAGGATTGCTGTATTATAGTATATACATTGTTTAGATCTAGTAGACTACTATTAAAATAGTTTTTCTAAGTAATTCCTTTCTTCTTTTTTTTTATTTTAGACTGAATCTTGCTCTGTCACCCAGGCTGGAGTACAGTGGTGTGATCTTGGCTCACTGCAGCCTTCGCCTCCTGGGTTCAAGCAACTCTCCTGCCTCAGCCTCCCTAGTAGCTGGGATTACAAGTGTGTGCCACCATGCCCAGCTAATTTTTTGTGTTTTTAGTAGAGACGGGGTTTTGCTATGTTGGCCAGGCTGGTCTCGAACTCCTGGCCTCAAGTGATCCACCCGCCTTAGCCTCCCAAAGTGCTGGGATTACAGGCATGAGCCACTGCACCCAGCCATTTTTCTAAGTAATTCTATCCGTATATACTCCCACTTACAGTGTATGAGAGTCCTAGTTATCTCATATCTTCACCAACACTTGATATTATCAGTCCTATTAATTTTAGCCATAGTGAGAGGGTGTAATGGTATCTTAGCTCACTGGGATTTTAATTTGCATTCCCCAATTGTCCAATGACATTAAGCACATTTTCTTATGCGTATTGGTCATTTGGACATCTTCTTTTGTGATGAGCACTTTCAATCTTTTGCCCGTTCAAACATTTTTGAGTTGTTGGTCTTTTGAAAATTATTAGGTTGGGCTGGGCATGGTGGCTCAAGCCTGTAATCCCAGCACTTTAGGAGGCCGAGGCGGGCAGATCACCTGAGGTCAGGAGTTTGAGACCAGCCTGGCCAGCATGGTGAAGCCCCATCTCTACTAAAAATACAAAAATTAGCCAGGTGTGGTGGCAGGCGCCTGTAATCCCAGCTACCTGGGAGGCTGAGGCAGGAGAATCGCTTGAACCCAGGAGGCAGAGGTTGCAGTGAGCTGAGATCGCGACATTAGCACTCCAGCCTGGGGGACAAGAGGGAGGCTTCATCTAAAAAAAAAAAATTATTAGGTTGGTGCAAAAGTAGTTGCAGTTTTGCCATTTGAAGTTCTTTTTATATTCTAGGTATGTATTTTGGAGGATATTTGTATTACAAATGTCTTCTCACAATCTGTAGCTCATGCTTTCATCTTAATGTTCTTAATTTTAATGAAGCTGAGTTTACAAATGTTTTTATGTCATGTTAAGAAATTTTCTTCTATCTGTATAAACTTTTCTCTTAAGCTTGAATTTATCAGTGTATCAGTTTCCTGAGGCTGCTGTAACAAGTGACTACAAACTTGGTGGCTTCAAACAATAAAAATTTGCTATTTCACCATTCGAGAGGCCAGAAGTGTGACATCAGTAGCCCCGGGGTGAAATCAAGGCAACCTCCAGGCTGAGGTCCATCCAGAGGCTCTCGAGGAAAGTTGTGCCTTGCCTCTTCTTGTTCTTTCCTCTTCTCTTCCAGCTTCTGCAGGATGCTGGCATTCCTTGGATTATGGCCGCATCACTCCAATCTCTGCATTGCTCTCTCTGTCTTCACATCACCATCTCCTGTTCCTGTGTGTGCAAGTCTCCTCCTCATCTCTTATAAGGACACTTATAATGACATTTAGGTGTATGTAATCCAGGATAATCTCCCTTCACAAGGTCCTTAACTAATCACACCTGCAAACCACCCCCACCCTCCCCCCGCCGCCCTTTTTTTTTTTTTTCCCCAAATAAGGCAACATTCACAGTTCCAAGGATTAGGACGTAGAGATCTTTCAGAGATTCCTTTTTCCTCCTCCCAGTCAAATTGATTCTGGAGTAACTAAACCCCGAGACAAGACAGTGATATTGCAGATGAAATTCTGGCTGGGTTTAGGGAGACTTGCTTACCACTCACCATGCAAGTTTCTATTATTTGTAAGCTTCAGTTTCTTTTCTATAGAAAGAATAACATGTGCCTTATCAACTCCGCCAAGTTGTTTACAGGTGAAATCCTGCATGTGAAAGTGATTTGAAAAATTCAAATTTATGGTCATTTGGTGTTAGTCCATGCCATACCTGAGGGGAAATCGAGCACCTTACCATGATATTGCAATTCTCATTGTTGCAATTGAATGAAACTCCTAGGTAAGTAAATACCTCCTGCAGCATTAGAAGTATTCAGACTGCAGGCAGTGTTAACCCGAGTTTTATCCCAAACATTTGTGACAGTGTAGCATGGGAGTTTATGGCATACACTCTGGAGACTTCCTGGGTTTGAAACCCAGGTTTATCACTTCGTGGTGGTACAACCCTGGCCAATTCTGTATCTGATACACTATATTACCCTACTCATACTATACCCAGGGAAAATTTAATGTAAATAATTGTTAAGTCTTAGAAGACGGTTAGTTACTAAAAGGTAATGGAGGCGTCTAAGGGGTACAGAAGTAGCAGGTGCACAGAAGCAGCCACTGCCTCTTGCTGAGGGAGAGGGGATGCTAAAGGAAGGAGGGAGGAGGAGGGAGGAGGAGGGTCCCCTCACCCCCCACCCCCAGGCAGGGATTCAGTCTTATTTTTTAAGAGCACACAGGCTGCTGCAGGCAAATGACTTTCCAGAAGGTGAGGGCCAGAGCTAGTCTGCAGAAGCAGCTACCTGTAAGAACACTGTGGCCTGAGCATGCAGCTGGAGCTCTGCCAAGGTGGCCCCTGAGCTCCCACACTGAACAGGAACAATGGAGGACCAGATCCTGCACAGGAAGGGGCTTCCCAAGACTGTGGTCCTGCGGCGTCCCTCTGGTGCCCTCTGTTGACAAGACCTAATGTGCCGCCAGCTCCAGGGTCACAAAGCAGGGTGGCTCTGGAGCGGAGAGGCAAGCCATTAAGGACTGGTAGTTCTATATTCTTATGCCTTGTTTTCTTCACCTGGAAACTGGGACACTAATTGTACCTCTCACATATTGTGAAGAGTGAATGAATTGATGCACTTAAGTGCTTACCCCCGGGGCTAGTGTGATCTATGTCAGCTCTTCCAGTCGGCTCTTATTCATTCAAGATACCAGGCCTGTGGGATGAGCTAATATAAAAAGACAAGCGAGGCACAGCCTGTGCCCTCATGGAGCCTCATCTCTAGTGCCTTTAAGAAGATTGTCAGATCTGGCCGGACACAGTGGCTCACGTCTGTAATCCCAGCACTTTGGGAGGCCGGGGTGGGTGGATCGCTTGAGCTCAGGAGTTGGAGACCAGCCTGGCCAACATGGTGAAACCCCACCTCTGCCAAAATACAAAAATTAGCCTTGTGTGGTGGCTCATGCCTGTAGTCCCAGCTACTCAGGAGGCTGAGTCTGGAGAATCGCTTGAACTCTGGAGGCAGAAGAAGTTGCAGTGAGCCAAAATTGCACCACTGCACTCCAGCCTGGGTGACAGAGGGAGACCCTGTCTCAAAAAAAAAAAAAAAAAAAAAAAAAAAAAAGATTGTCAGATTTGAGCTGCTTCCTGCTTTATTGATTAGGGATTAATACGATCTCAAAGCTTACCATTAGGAATTTAAAGAACTTCTTTCCACAGTATAATAAGTTTTTGTTTTCTTTTCTAGCTCTTTCTAGCAGAGAAGTGTATCTTTGTGTATCTTTGATTCCTTAGAGAATCAGTGCCAAGTAAATGAATTCATTCCTTCAACCAGTATCTATTGACTACCTAGGATGAGCCAGGCACTCTTCTAGACTTGGGGGGCTCAGAAGTGAACAACACAAAACACATTTTCTGTCCTCGTGGAGTTTAAATTCTAGGTGGGAAGTGGGGGGAGATAAATAATAAATAAACTAAAAATGTAGCATCAGTGATAAATACTGTGAAGAAAAAACTGGGAACAGAGATAGACTTGATTCTTTCCCAAGCCTCACTGTCCCAGGCATGTGAACCAGATCGACTCCATCTTGAATGGGAGCTGGGTAAAATGAGGCTGAGACCTGCTGGGCTGCATTCCCAGACGGTTAAGGCATTCTAAGTCACAGGATGAGATAGGAGGTCGGCACAAAATACAGGTCACACAGACCTTGCTGATAAAACAGGTTGCAGTAAAGAAGCTGGCCCAAGATGGCCCCGAGAGTGACCTCTGATCATCTTCACTGCTACATTTCAGCGCCAGGACAGTTAACAAATGCCATGGCAACATCAGGAAGTTACCTTATACGGTCTAAAAAGGGAAGGCATGGCCGGGCGTAGTGGCTCACGCCTGTAATCCCAGCACTTTCGGAGGCCAAGGCGGGCGGATCATGAGGTCAGGAGATCGAAACTATCCTGGCTAACCCGGTGAAACCCCGTCTCTACTAAAAATACAAAAAAAAAATTAGCTGGGCATGGTGGTGGGCGCCTGCAGTCTCAGCTACTCAGGAGGTTGAGGCAGGAGAATGGCGTGAACCCGGGAGGCGGAGCTTGCAGTGAGCCGAGATCGCGCCACTGCACTCCAGCCTGGGCTACAGAGCAAGACTCCGTCTCAAAAAAAAAAAAAAAAAAAAAAAAAAAAAGACAGAAAAAAAGAAAAAAGAAAAAAGAAAAAAGGTGGAGGCACAAATAATCCACCCCTTGTTTAGCGTATAATTGAGAAATAACCATGAAAATAGGCAACCAGCAGCCCTGGGGCTGCTCTATCTATGGAGTAGCCATTTTTTTATTCCTTTACTTTCCTAGTAAACTTTCACTTTATGGACTCGCTCTGAATTCTTCCTCTCTTGGAGTCTGGACGCGGACCCCTTTCTTGTAACATCATTATGGAAAAAGAATGTGGGTGGTGCTGATGGTGGTGGTAGTGGTGGTTGTGGTGTGTGTGTGTGTGTTTCAGTGCCAGCTCCATGTCTGTAATTCTCTATCAGTGTGGAAGTCAGAAATTCCCGAATCTCAGGAGAGCCTGTGCTGGGAAGTTTTTCCTTTGCACATAGAGATTTTGGTTAAATTTGAGGGAGGTTCTCCTTTTAAAAAATCTTTCCTTCATATTATGAACATGTTCAGTCCTTCAGCACATTCAGATGCATTAGCAAATACCCGGTGGGTCATGAAGTCCTCTCCCAATGGACAGTCTTTATTCTCTCCCGACTGCCCAACTAAGGCAATCATATCTGAAGCGCTGCTAAACCCACCGCAACCTCCGCCTCCCAGTTCAAGCGATTATCCTGCCTCAGCCTCCTGATAAACCCAATCTTTTTCACCTGTGCCGACATCGCCTTCAATCTGAACAGGCCCTCCATGTTACATTCTCTTTTTAACATTCTTCCTTTTTTAAATATGAATATATTTATATCAGGAATGGCCAATCTCCAACCTATGAAGTAAAGCTAGAAGTTTTAGACTAATCACTTTCATTTAATTCCGCCATTCCGAAGACCTTGGAAACAGGTCTGAAAATCAATCAGAGGAACCACAAATTTAAAAAGTGTTAGTTTGATATGTCTGAAATTAATGCCTTAATTTATTCACCACAGAGTGTCTTCACACATCGCTGTTTTCTGTAATTTATACCATATACTGTCTACTCAAGTTAATGTGTGAAGCACAGTTAAATTATACCTAAAAAGGAATATGAAAATTATCTACAAGACAGTGACGGGAAGAGGGTCTAAGTAGGAGTAATGGGGCAAAATTTAAATGAGACAAATTGTAATAGAAGTTTTAGAAAAACTGTCAGGTATTTCAGCCTAACTGGAATAAGCTCCTCGGAAAAAGACTTCAAGACATTTAGAGTACTGGGAATGGAATGGACAGAGCTCTAGAAAATATTTCTATAGGGAATGTGTAATTGTCCATGTGGCCTCAAAACCAGAGTAGATAATCAAATAACCTTTTTATTTTTATTTTTATTTTTATTTTTTTTTTGAGATGGAGTCTTGCTCTGTTGCCCACGCTGGAGTGCAGTGGTGTGATCTCGGCTCACTGCAACCTCTGCCTCCTGGGTTCAAGTGATTCTCCTGCCTCAGCCTCCAGAGTAGCTGGGATTACAGGCATGCACCACCACGCCCAGCTAATTTTGTATTTTTAGTAAAGTCGGGGGGGTTTCTCCATGTTGGTCAGGCTGGTCTCGAACTCCCAACCTCAGGTGATCCACCCGCCTCGGCCTCCCAAAGTGCTGGGATTACAGGTTCAAATAACCTTTTATGTGTCTCATATCTTCAATTTTCAATCTTTGGTTAATCATGTCAAGGAAGGTTTGGGACAAAGATCAAATGAACAATTCTAGAGGAAAGAGAGACGTATTTTGTCAATATGATTTCATTTTGTTCTTTTTCCTGATGTGTATAGCATGCTGGCACTTTCATTCATTTTCTTATGGCTAATTTAACTCTAGTGGAGGTTGCCGAACTGACAACTCAGGAGACTGAAGTCTATTATACACTTGCCCGACTTTGCACTTCAGTCTCATTCTAAAGGAGTCTGCCTTAAGAACTGTCAAGGCAAGAGAATCTCTGTGATTCCATTCTGTTTTATTTTTGAGAGCAATCATATTATACTAATTAGTATTTTTATTTTTATTTTTTGAGACAGGGTCTTGCTACGTTACCCAGGCTGGAGTGCAGTGGTGTGATTTCAGCTTACCACAACCTCTGCCTCCCAGGCTCAGGTGATCCTCCTGTCTCAGCTTCCGGAGTAGCTGGGACTACACACGTGCACCGCCATGCCTGGCTAATTTTTGTGTTTTTAGTAGAGATGGGGTTTCACCATGTTGGCCAGGCTGGTCTCCAACTCCTGACCTCAAGCTATCTGCCCAGCTTGGCCTCCCAAAGTGCTGGGATTACAGGTGTGAGCCACCACGCCCAGCCACTAATTAGTATTTTTAAATGTTAGCAATTTGGAGGTTGCATTCATTAATTCACTCTCAATGCCTGCTTATGTCCACAGCACTTTGTTCTAGGTTCCAGCCCCTGTAGGAAATGAGGGTATCTAAGAGATTGCTTCGGCATTCAGTGAGTGCATAGGTTAGCAGGCTGTTAAGATGAGAAGGACCTGCTGTGTTTCACATCAGACACCACATCAAAAACACTAAAAGCAACACGGAATGGAATTCAGACAGGTCAGTGTTTGCGGATGGGGAGAGGGGACATGCAGGAAGAGGTTGCCAGGTCGGGTGAGTCTAGGTTTATTTTCCTCGATGAGATTTAACAGACTTGCTTTAACTCTGCAGTCATATTTCAGTAGAATAGCATTCTTTTCAAACAGAGTAGAAGATGCGAAATAATTTTTGGAATTCTTCAGTGAAAAGAAAAGCAAGCTAGTCCCTCACCTGCTCCTGCCTGAACCTTCACCCTGAAGCCCCACCCTGCCCTACTTCTCTGAACACACCCAAAATGCCTCTTCTTGTTTCTCTGCTCTGATCTCTGAGATGCTCTGAGTTCACTCAGGCTCCATCTCATCATCGACCCAAACTCCCTGTTCGGGACCCCATACTATTCAGGCAATGGGGAGTGGCTGTGTGCTTCCATGCACCATGGGGACTGCTGTTGAGCTGAGCAAGCACACTCCTTAGTCTGGACTGACTGCGGGGACCAAACAGTCTCTCATTCTCTGTTGCCCAAGCTGGAGTTTATTGGTGCCATCTCAGCTCACTGCAACCTCCACCTCCTGGGTTCAAGTGATTCTCCTGCCGCAGCCTCCGGAATAGCTGGGACTACAGACATGCGCCAACACACCCAGCTAATTTTTGTATTTTTAGTAGAGATGGGGTTTCACCATGTTGGCCAGGCTTGTCTTGAACTCCTGACCTCAAGTGATCCACCCGACTCAGTCTCCCAAAGTGCTGGGATTACAGGTGTGAGCCACCATGCCCGGCGAATGTTTTAAAATTGGAAGGAAATCTACATTGCCAAATTGAGAAAACTTAAAGACCAAAGATGCTACAATAAAACAAACTACACTGACTAGGAAAATTTAAAGAGTGATAGTGGTAGGCATCACAAAAGTGCTCAAAAAGCTCATGATTTTTTTTCCTGAAAAATCTAACACAGACTGAGTAGAAAAGTGAATATTCAAAGTGATAAATACAGTCTAATGTGGCTAACTCACTTTCTTATCTTCAATCCTGATTATTCTTAGAAAAAAAGAAAAAAGTACTCTCACCCCAATTCTTAGCAGATATTGAAACTACAGCAGTGTAACTTCATATGACTAAATAATTGTTTAAAAGCTAAATGGGGCTGAGCACGGTGGCTCACTCCTTTAATCCCAACACATTCGGATGCCCAGGCGGGCGGATCATCTGAAGTCAGGAGTTTGAGACCAGCCTGGCTAACATGGTGAAATCTCGTCTCTACTGAAAATACAAAAATTAGCCAGGCATGGTGGCACGTGCCTGTAATACCAGCTATTCAGGAGGCTAAGGCAGGAGAATCACTTTAACACGGGAGGTGGAGGTTGCAGCAAGCCGAGACCATGCCACTGTACTCCAGCCTGGGCAACAGAGCGAGACCTCGTTTCAAAAAATAATTAATAAAATAAAACATTCCTGCAAGTATTTTGCTTTGAAATTCCCAATGCCTTTTCCAGGGAATAAGAGGAGACTTTGAACTCATCTATACAAGTAATGCTGACAAGTAAATTTTCGCAGGGTTCCAACCTCATCTACTCTTTAAGCATAAGCTGACTTGATCTCTGTCTGTAGTACACCAATAAAACACTTTCAGCTACCTAAGCATCTTCATGCTTCAGACTGCCTCTGTCTGACCTGCCGTACTTAGAGGCTGACTTTTAAATATTCTGATGTTTTAGGTATATTTTTGTGGGCAACTCAAGAGGCACTATGTACCTGAGAATTCTCATTTTAAGCATTAGGTATTCCTGGTTGATATTCTGTCACCAAATGTCATAAATTAGGGTTACAAGATCTAGGGGGTGAATCAAACAGGAACACCCAGTTAAATTTGAATTCCACACAATGAATACTTTTCTAAAAAGTATAAGTATGTCCCATGAAACATTTGGTTCATGCTTTCTACTAATAAATTATGCATTCAAATTGAACTAGGTGTCTTGTATTTTATTTGGCAACCCTATCGTAAATGGGAAGTTCTACTCCTGCAGCTTGCTCACCCTTCATTTCCCAGAACTTCACCCAGGGCTCAGAGTTCAGAGTGGAGTGGGGTTGGGGAATAGAAGACAGGATACTTGACACTCATTGCCAGGTCCTTGGCAATTTCCAGGCCTTTGAAATTGGTGCTGAGATGTCAGGTCCAACGAGGGGGACCCCAGGATTAAGGTAGCCTCAGTGATGAGATAGCTCTCAATTGGATGAGATACCCATCCATTTAAATCAATACCAATTTATCCAAATAGGCAGCAATATATATCGGTGAATAGCTGGTCCCTGAACTGTTCATCTGGAGTCAGGCCAAGGTATATATATATATATATATATATATATATATATATATATATATATATTATATATATATATATATATATATATATTATTTCTTGCTCTGCTGCCTAGGCTGGAGTGCAGTGGTGCCATTTCGGCTCACTGCAATCTCCACCTCCTGGGTTCAAATGATTCTCCTACCTCAGCCTCCTGAGTAACTGGCACTTCAAGTGCACACCACCATGCCCAGCTAATTTTTATATTTTTATATTTTTAGTAGAGATGGAGTTTCACCATGTTGGCAAGGCTGGTCTTGAACTCCTGATGTCAAGAGATCTGCCTGCCTCAGCCTCGCAAAGTGCTGGAATTACAGGCATGAGCCACCACACTGGGCCTAGACCATGGTATATTTTATGATACCCTAACTATAGAGATATAGATGAGGTTACCCATATTACTACTACTATTTAGGGAAATATAATTCCATGTGTAAGGTGTTGTTATGACAACATATACATATGTATATGTATATGTGCCTAAGGATTCCAGGTTCTCCCACTCATTGCCTTGAAAAAGAGAATTCTGTTGTCACCCATGCTGTGTTCCTGGGCCCAGAATTGTACAGGACTGGGTTAATGAAAGAAGGAGGGAACTAAATGAAGTCAAGGCCAGTTTAGTTGATAGAGAAAAGGCAGCAAGCTAGTCATCCAGGAGAAAAGAACAGATTCAGAAGTTGAGATGGGTAGGACAGAAAGAAGGATGCGGTGGGGTGCATGTGGGAAGGGGCATGGGAGGGAGAGGGGTAGAGAGAGGGATTACGGAAGAATAGGAAGAGAAAGAAGGGGATGTCCTGCTGGGCTCTGTGCCATATCAGAGAGAAGGCAAAGGTGAAATCAGCTTTTCAAGAACTTCTGCTGTGGGTTGGAAGATTCATCCCCCTTTTGACATTCTTTTGAGAGACTGTGTTTATATTTATTTCAATAACTTTTTTCTCTTTTTGCTATCACATTGATGTTTCCTCTGAATGTGAATGATGCTGAGCTGCTCTTACATGCAACCCCCTTCAAGCCCTTGACTTAAAGTGAGGAAGGAGGAAAACAGGGCAGCAAGGATTTATTAAAGTTGAACCAAACCAATGTTGGGCAGCGAAACTGTAAAAGTAGTGCCTTACTTATTTCATCATTCAAACATTCCCGAGGAAGAGCTAAAGTAGGTGATATGGTTTGGCTATGTCCCCCACCCAAATCTCATCTTGAATTGTAATATCCCCATGTGTCAAGGGCAAGGCCAGGTGGAGATAATTGAATCATGGGGGAGGTTTCCCCCAGACTGTTCTGATGATAGTGAATAAGTCTCAGGAGATCCAGTGGTTTTATAAATGGGAGTTGCCCTGCACATGCTGTCTTGCCTGCTGCCATGTAAGACATGCCTTTGCTTCTCTTTTGCCTTGCACCGTGACTGTGAAGCCTCCCCAGCCATGTGGAACTGTGAGTCCATTAAACCTCTTGCCTTTATAAATTACCCAGTCTCGGATATGTCTTTATTAGCAGCATGAGAACGGACTCATACCGTAGGTATTCCCAACAGGAACATTAACAAAGAAATTGATGTTATCTATTCATGCTTTTATGATGTTATGGACTTTATCTCCTTTCCTCCCTTTCTCTTCATAAATACTTGTGTGATATGATATGTGATCATGAGATGAATAAACTTATATTTTTGTTATGCAACATAGAATTTACACTCCAAATTAGTGGGGTTTTTGTCTCTTCTAAAGGTGTCACCATGGATGCTGAAGTCTTTGCATCAACACCTCATTGCATTACATGGCATTTGAGCACTGCATTGTTCAAAAACAATGCGATCTCCTGTTTTGGAATCACCTTCAGAGTTTATGTCAAATTATTTTTATTAGTCTCAGTAATGGGAAAACATTCGTCCTTAATGATGCATTTGATTTTTGGAAACAGCCAAAGATAATTTGGAACATAGTTTGATAGACAAAATACATGATCATAATAGATAATATTTTAGGATAAAAACAAAGTAGGAAAGCTAATGAAATTTTTTATGGTTTATAAACTGAAAATAATTATAAAAATAAGACATTCTAAGTTATTTTTGGGCAATGGACTGGGTTGAATAAAAGCATAGACTCAAATAATTATTTTGAAATAGCCAGTTGTTTCGAACTGTGTTTTTTCTTTGGTTTATTCTTTCATTAGTTCAGCAAACATGCCTTGAGGACCTACTAACTCTTAGACACTGGCTCTGAGAATACCAAGATAAAAAGACTTAGTTCTTGTCTTCAGAGAACTTCTAATTCCACTGAAAAATAGATATACAAATGCATGATTATAGTGTACATGTCTTATCTGAAAACCTTTGGAAGGTTTTGGAATTCAGAATTGTTCACATCTTAATGTAAGATGATGGTAATCTAGTTCCTATGACTGCATAACAATTACCCCCAAACTTAGTGGGTTTTAATAAAACAACAAAAACATTCACTTTTCTCATGAATCTGCATTTTGGGCAGGTCTTGGTGGCAGCAGCTTTTCTTTGCTCCATTTGGCCAACAGGTGGGATGCTTGCATGCCCAGGGCAGGGGTCACATTAAGGTTTATTTGCTGGCATGTCCAGTGGTTGGTGTTGGCTGGTGGTTGAAACCTTAGCAGAGACTGTGGGTCAGAACACCTCCATGTGACCTCACCATGTGGCCTGGGACATGGTGACTGGGTTCCAAGGGCAGGAAGTTCAAGAGAAAAAGGAAGACAGGCAGAAGCCATATGACCTTTGAAGACCTGGCGTTGAAAGTCAAACAGTGTCTATTCCACTGCTTTTTATCCATCAAGGCAGGCATAAAATCCCAGTTTCAAGGGGAAGAAGAAACAGGCCTCACCTCTTGATGAGAAGTGGACGTTTTGGAAGAATTTGTGGGAATGAGAAGTATTGCAGTGGCCATTTTTGGAGTGGGGCCACAGATACACAAACTCTATATGTACAAGTGTGTGCATCTATAGCCCCAGTCCAAAAATAAGCTACATAATACCATCTGTGGGGCCCGAGTCTCCACTCTGTAATGGAACCCATTAATATAAATGCAACAAAATTAACCAATATTCACTCAAAGTAGGATCCATTGAGATTATAAATATACATATAAACAGTTCAATTCAGTTTTTGCCAGCAAATGAGTTACTCAAAAAATATTTTAGTATTCCCTGGGAAGAGCTAAAAGAGCAATTCCCAACAGCAACATTAAAAAATAAATTGACGTTATCTATTCATGCCTTGATGACATTATGGATTTTCTCTTTATCTCCTTTCCTCCCCTTCTCTTCATAAAGTTAAATATGTGTGTGATACGATGTGTGGCCATGAGATTAATAAACTTATATTTTTGTGATGCAGAAGATACCCAGAGATTTTCTGGATTTCAGAATTTCTCATAAGTGACTTTTGAACTGTTATATAATCCATGCTGATGAAGGCTTTAGGTATCCACAATGTATCTGGAAGAAGAGACTGTAGAAGGAGTGGGGAGTAAGAAAACTTCAAAAAAGAGGTAGAAGGGATTAGGAAGGCGGTTCCACCCCAGAGAAACAGTATGTGCAAAGGAATGGAGGTCTGAGAGAGCATGGAGTGTCTAGAGAAAAGCAAGATTTTCAGAGTGGCTGGAATAATTCTCAGAGAATGTCAGGGGTCAAATCAGGAAGGGTCTTGGATGCCATATTAAGAACTTTAGAATTTATCCTATAGAGGTAAAATTAGAGTTCCATTAGGGATTTTAAGCACAATAAGGATGTGATCATATTTGTCCTTCAGAGTGATTATTTTGGTTGCAGATAGATGGTGGACTAAGGGGAATGAGAATGGGATTCACTTAGGAAGCTCTTTAGTAGGCAGCTAGAATGGATGATCACCAGAAATTAGAGCTACCATTTTCTTTTGCACTTCAGGTCAGAGTGAATTAAAAAAAAGCATGATGTGCCGGGTGTGGTGGCTCATGCCTGTAATCTTAGCACTTTGGGAGGCCGAGGCGGGTGGAGTTCAGGAGTTCGAGACCAGCCTGGCCAATATGGTGAAACCCCGTCTCTACTAAAAATACAAAAATTAGCAGGGCATGGTGGCTTGCGCCTGTAATCCCAGCTACTCAGAAGGCTGAGCCAGGAGAATGGCATGAACCCAGGAGGCAGAGGTTACAGTGAGCCGAGATCTTGCCACTGCACTCCAGCCTGGGTGACAGAGCAAGACTCCATCTCAAAAAACAAAAAACAAAACAAAACAAAAAGCATGATGTGAAGGCAAGTTGTCGACTTGTCTCTTCTTTGATTTTTGAATCCATGTGGTACATCTTCTTTACAATGTAAAAATAGCAGAAGGCATAGAATAACAAAGTACCCTGTACCACACCTCCTCACTCCTATTCTGGTTTCCTGAAGGCTACCAGTTTCACCCCTTTAAACCATTCCTTCTGGGATTTACCTCCTTGATGAAAATGAGCCATGTCTGTTACATGTAACAGAAAAAACAACTGAAAATGACTTAAATAATATTTATTTTCACACAACAAGAAATCCAGGTTGGATAGGTTTTAGACACTGTATTTGCCTCCATCTCAGCTAGCTCCTTTCATCATCACAAGATTCATGCTTTTATTCCAAGAGTCATGCAAAAATGAACAACAACAATGAATTCAGTGGAAGAAGAAGAGGGACTATTCTTGTGAGTCTTTTTGTATTGTTCAGTTTATTAGCAGCTAAGTCTTTTCCAGAATCTCTCCAGCTCCTGTCCCCTCACGTTCCTTTGGCTAATTTGGGTCCCATGCCCTGTGTTGGATCATCTGTTGTCAATTCACTATCGACACTACCCCTTCTAAGGTCTCCTCTGCTTTGAAGAAGAGAAGCCTGGAACTATGTTTGCCAGAATCCCCTTTGTCGTATGGTTCCAGGGTGTAATGTAACAACGAGAGGCACCCTTGAGCCATAGTGATGAAGAGATCATTCTCTAGAGTCAGTTGTGGTCAGAAGTATGAATAGGTGTGATACTGCTAAAAATGTCAAGGTGAGTTTTAAGAACCACTTTCTTTGAGTGCTTCAGGTTGAGAAAGTCAGTGGCAGTGTATTAGTCCATTCTTGGTATAAAGAACTACCTGAGACTGGGTAATTTATTTAAAAAAAAAAAAAGAGGTTTAATTGGCTCAGAGTTCCACAGGCTGTACAGGAAGCTTGGCTGGGGAGGCCTCAGGAAACTTACAATCATGGTGGAAGGGAAAACAGGCACGTCTTACATGGCTGGGACAGGAGGAAGAGAGTAAGGGGGAAGTGCAACACACTTTTCAACAACCAGATCTCATGAGAACTCACTATCATGAGAACAGCAAGGGAAATGTCTGCCCCCATGATCCAATTCCCTCCCACCAGGCCCATTCTCCAACACGGGGTTTACAGTTCGACATGAAATTTTGTTGGGGACGCAAATCCAAACCATATCAGGTAGCTTCTGTTACCAATGCTCCCTTAGGTTTTTTTTTAGGGGGGTCCTGGGGGGTAAACCACAAATTCCCTATACTAAAACCCTTAATATCTAGGCTACATAGAGTAGCTTCTGGTTTCCTGATTAATATATGAACCTTCCTAAACACGATTGATGCAAGGGCAATAAATTATAACAACTGACAGCCTAATCACGACTTACCCCCAAAGATATGTGGGAAGATTAACATTTGAACAAAAACTGCTGTTCTAACACAAAGAAAAATTGGGTGGGGGTAGGGGACATGATTCCAGTATGGAGCAAAATATAATATCAGGAAATTTGGCTTCTGGTAATAATTATGTAACTTGGTGGGACTAACCTTCCCACAGATGACAATGATAAAGTCTGGGTGAAAATATTAAAAATCACCTATCGGAAGATACCAGACAGAGACTGAAAGCAGGCAAAAACTGGAGAAAAGTCTACCCTTAAAAGGTTGGAACTATACCAATGTGATTTTTGAGTTTGTAGTGTTTGCCCTAAGATGTTCACTAATCGAGTAGGTGGCTGAGGATGAAGAAAGTTCCAGCCTTACTGGACTGTGGTGTCAGAGTACAGTGTTCAGGATTGAAAAGCAGCTAGGAAGCTGGGGATAAGTCTAGAAGGGAGGGCTTCATAGAGGCAACAAGCCCCCAAATTTGCATATACATTGCTCAAATTCTTGTCTGAAAACTGAAATATGCACATTAAAATTAATTCTCTACTAGAACAGAAATCAACACTCTTCTTAGCAATGTAACAGAATCCAGAGACTCTACAATGTGTCATTCATTATGTCTGGTATAAGTTAAGAAATGACTAAACATATAAGAAACAAGAAAATATGATACATATGCAAAAGAAGAAAAAAAAAAAACCCAGTCAATGAGAAGCAAACCTTAGGTGGTACTTAGCAGACAAGAATTTTAAGGCAGCTATTATAAGACTGTTCAAGGACTTACAGGAAAATACATGTAATGAATGAACAGATGGAGAATCTTAGCAGCAAAATGGAAACAATTAAAAGATCCAAACGAAAATTTTAGATGAAAAATACAGTAAATAAAATGAAAAATTTACTGGATATATTTAATGGCAAATTGGAGGTGGCACAAGAGTCAGTGAATCAGAAAATAATGAACGGAAATTATCCAAATTCAAGAAAAGAGGAGGAAAAGATAGAAGATATATGAATAGCTACTCGGGGAACTGTAATATAATACCAAGCAGTTGAACACATGAAATTGGACTTCCAGAATTAGAGAAGAGGGAGAGAAGAGGGAAGAAAAAAAAATTTGAAGAAATAATGGCCAAAGCCTCCCAGATTTAGTAAAAACATAAACTTACAGATCCAAAAGGTTAGTTAACCACAGCAGAAGAAATGCAAGGAAAACTACACTAAGGATGTGGCAGACTGCTGAATTCCAAAGATGAAAAGAAAGGAGCCAAGAAAAAAAAAAAACACCTCTATAGACTACATAAAGAGAAACAATAACACAAACGACAGCAGACTTCTCATCAGAAACAACAGGGCCAGAAGACTATGATGCACACCCAGGAAACCTTCGGTGAAAAACTCGTTGCCCCAGCTGTGAAGAGTGCTGTTAGTAGATAACTTTCATTTGTCCGCTTCTTTAGGAATTGCTTCAGCTGTCGAGAATTGCCTCACTCTAGGTCATACCCCTTCCTGAGGTGCCTACAGTCAGGGATCAGTCAATTGGGCCTGACCATCTTGGTCCGTGGCAAGACGTATCTGAAGGGCTGTTCTTGCTCCAGATCTTCCCGGGTGGTCAGCTGAGACTGTTATAGGGCATACATCACAGATGAACTTTTCCTTCTGACCACTCTTACTTTCTTCTTTTTCCCACAGGTTTTGATGCCAAGGAAATTCCTTAGTAAACATCTATGCGATAAACTCCATCTTGGAGTCTGTCTCCCAGGGAACCAAACCCATGACAACAATTGTATGACATCTTTAAGTACTAAAACCTAAATGCCAACCGAGAATTCTGTATGCAGCAAGATTATCTTGCAAAAAGGAAAGCAAAATATAGATATTTTCAGATAAAACCTGAGATCATGTGTCACCAGCAGACTTGTGCTATAGCAAATGCTAAAGGGAATTTTTCAAGCTGGAAGGGAATGACACTAGATGGTAACTTGGATCCAATGAAAATAATAAGGACACAGGAAATGGTAAATATTTGGGTAAATAGAAAAGGATATATATTTTGGTTTTCTGAATTTCTTTAAAAAATCATGGGATTGTTTAATGGAAAATAATAACACCGTATTATGGGGTTTGTAACATAAGTAGATGTACTATGACAAAAATCTCACAAAGTCTGAGGGAGTGGTAAATAAAACTAGAGTATTATAAGGTTCCTATATTTTATGTGAAGTAGTATGATTGTGACAAATTAGAGATGTATATTGAAATCCTTAAAACAACTGCTAAAAAATGTAAAAGACATAGCAAAAAAGTCAACAGAAAAATAAAAATGGAATACTACAAAATATTTGAAAAATCCAAAAGAAGGCAAGAAAGGAGGAAGAGAGGAATAAAACCTGGAAAAATAGAAGGCAAATAGCAAAATGTACACCTAAATCCAACCCTATAAAAATTACATTAAATGTACATGGATGAAAAAACTCCAGTTAAAAGGCAGAAATTATCAGACCAGCTGAAAAAGTGTGACTTAACTCTGTCTGCAAGAGGCACACTTTCACACTTTAGGTACAAAGACACCAATAGGTTGAAAGTCAAAGGATGGGCCAGGCACAGTTGCTCACACCTGTAATCCCAGCACTTTGGGAGGCCAAGGCAGGTGGATCACCTGAGGTCAGGGGTTTGAGACCAGCCTGGCCAACATGGAGAAACCCCGTTTCTACTAAAAATACAAAAATTAGCTGGGCGTGGTGGCATGCGCCTGTAGTCTCAGCTACTTGGGAGGCTGAGGCAGGAGAATCGCTTGAACCTAGGAGGCAGAGGTTGCAGTGAGCCGAGATCATGCCACTGTACTCCAGCCTGGGTAACAGGGTGAGATTCTGTCTCAAAAAAATAAATACATAAATTAATTAATTTAAAAAAAAGAAAGTCAAAGGATGGAAAAAGATATACCATGAAATCAATCAGCACAAAAAATCTGGAGTGGCTGTATTTATGTCAAACAAAATAGAATTCAAGAAAAGGAGCGTTAGCAGAGAAGAAAAGAGACATTTCATAATGACAAGAGTGTAAATACATCAGGAGGACCAAACAATTACGAATGACTGTATGCTAAATAACCGAGCTTCAGAATACATGAAATACAAACTGTCAGGATTATAGCAATAAAAAAATAGACAAATCCACAATCATTGCTGGAGATTTTAACATATCTCTCTCAGTAATTGATAGAACTAGGAGACAAAATCCATAAGGCTATAGAAGATCTAAACCATACCATTAATCACTTTGACCTAAATGACAACTTTGGAACACTAAGCCCAAGTGGAAAATTCACATTCCTTCCAAGTGCAAATAGAATGTTCACTTAGATGGACTAAATGCTGGGTCATCAAACAAGTCTCAATAAATTGTTGATAAATATTGGATTCTGAAAGAGTATGTTTTCTGACCACAACAGAATTCAATTAGAAATCAGTAACAGTAAGATAGCTAGGAAGTTCCCAAATATTTGAAAATTAAGCAACACACTTTTAAGTAACACATGAGGCAAAAAATAAATCATAAGGGAAATGAGAAAATATTACAAAGTTAGTGAAAATACAACATAAAAAATTTGTGGGTTGTATTTACATCTTTAAATGCTAATATGAGACAGCAAGAAAAGCTTAACATAAATTATCTTAAGATTCCAGTTTAAGAACCTACAAAAAGACAAGTTAAACCCAAAGCAAGAAGGAAAGAGTAAAAAGCAGATATCGATGGGAAAAAAAAATCCAGAAGCAATCTATAGAGAAAATTATAAGCAAGCCAGAAGGAATTATTTGAAAAGGGTAATAAAATAGATAAAATTCTAGCAAGACCTATTAAGAAAAAAAGGGAGAAAATATACATTTTCAGTGTCAGGAATGAAAGAGCGTATGGATATCACTACAGATCCTATTGGCATTGAAGGATAAGAAAATAGTGTGAACTATCTTAGGTTGATATATTAACAACTTAGATAAAATGGCCAAGTTCCTTAAAAAGTAAAATCTAAGTTGGCACAATATGAAATAAAAAATTGGAACAACCCTTTTTAAATACATTGAATTTATTATGAAAAATATTTTCACAGGCTGAGCATGGTGGCTCGTGTCTGAAATCCCAGCATTTTGGGAGGCTGAGGCAGGAAGATCACTTGAAGCCAGGAGTTCAAGACCAGGCTAGGCAATAAAGGGAGACCCTATCTCTAAAATAAAAAAAGCCTGGGCGTGGTGGCTCACGCCGGTAATCCCAGCACTTTGGGAGGCCGAGGATCACTTGAGGTCAGGAGTTCAAGACCAGACCAGCCTGGGCAACATGGTGAAACCCCGTCTCTACCAAAAACACAAAAAAGCCAAGCGTGGTGGCAGGTGACTGTATTGCCAGCTACTCAGGAGGCTGAGGCAGGAGAATCACTTGAACCCAGGAGGAGTTAATAAATAAGTATATTGGCCAGGTGCAGAGGTTGCAGTGAGCTGAGATCATGCCACTGCACTCCAGCCTGGGCAACAGAGTAAGGCTCTGTCTCAAAAAATAAAATAAAGGACAAAGAAAGAATTTCTGATTTTTTCATTTCTATTCAGTTGGAAGTTCATCACAATAATGCAAGACAAAGAAAGAAAAGACATAAAAATAGGAGAAAAAGTAATAAAACTTTCTATTCACAGACAACGTGATTGTTAATGTAAAACTCCTAAGGAATCAATAAATAATAACAGCGAAACTACTAGAATCAGTGAATGAGTGTACAAAGTCTTAGGATACAAAGTCAGTATGAAAAAATCAATTGCATGTCTATGTACTAACAGCAAACAATTAGAAAATAAAAACCAATTTCATAAGCTAAGGGGAAAAGTCAAGCTGGGAACTGCTTAGGGCAAACCTACCTCCCATTCTATTCAAAGTCATCCCTCTGCTCACTGAGATAAACGCATATCTCATTGCCTCCCTTGGGAAGGCTAATCAGAAACTCAAAAGGATGTTAATCATTTATCTCTTATCTACCTATGACCTGGAAGCCCACTCCCAGCTTTGAGTTGTCCCGCCTTTCTGGACTGAACCAATATTCATCTTACATATGTTGATTGATGTGTCATGTCTTTCTAAAATGTATAAAACCAAGCTATGCTTACCACCTTGGATACATGTCCTCAGGACCTTCTGGGGCTGTGTCACATGCACATGACCTTAACTTTGGCAAAATAAACTTCCTAAATTGACTGAGACCAATCTCAGATATTTAGTGTCCACAAAAGCATGCAACAGTATTTACTAATATATTTTTTAAAAGATGTTCAAGATCTTTACGCTGAAAATTATTTAATGTTTTGAGAAATATTTAAGAGACTCAAATAAATGCTACAGTTATGTGGGTAAGGGCCACATGAGAATAGGAGGACATGGAGAAGAGGGTGTGGAGAAGGGCAGCAGCAATGGTGACTGGACATTGGCTACATATATGGAGATAAATAAGTATATTGACCAGGCGTGGTGGCTCATGCCTGTAATCCCAGCACTTCGGGAGGCCAAGGTCACGGGATTGCTTGAACCCAGGAATTTGAGACCTGCCTGGGCCACATCGTGAAACCCTATCTCTACAAAAAAATAAAAAATTAGCCAGCTCTGATGGTGTGCACCTGGAGTCTCAGCTACTAGGGAGACTGAGGTGGGAGGATCGCCGAGCCTGGGAGGTTGAGGCTGCAGTGAGCCATTATCATGTCACTGCACTCCAGCCTGTGCAACAGAGCAAGACCCTGCCTAAATAAATAAAAAAGAATATTAATGATAGTAGAGACCAGCTTTCTCATTGTCAGAGAAGGGAATTACAAATATGGAAAGCAGAAAGCAAGAGTGAACCAATAGCTGGAATTGGTGTGAATTCATGGCTTTATAGAAAGATATATACATACGCATACATGTAATTTCTAGTTCTGCCCACTGACAAGACTTGAACATGTCAACACCTCAATATTATTGAGCACACCTAAAGACCCAATCTTGATTTCTGAAAACCATTCTCCACCAAAAACAAACAAACAAAAATATCCGAGGCTTTTTGATGAAATTAATAATTTGCAAACCGGGACAGGGGATGCACAAAATGAGCCTGGAAAGTTTTGTGCAAAAAAATAAGGAAGTCCCCAAAATAATGATGGGGCTCTGTTAAAGGGCATAGAATCCAGTTGGAATGGGCTCCCCGCTGGTCAAATCTGAGACAAACAACATCAAAATTAGTAGTAATCATAACAAATTATAGCCAAGCACGGTGGCTCATGCCTGTAATCCCAGCACTTTGAGAGGCCAAGGCAGGCAGATCATTTGAGGCCAGGAGGTCGAGATCAGCTTGGCCAATATGGTGAAACCCTGTCTCTACCAAAAATACAAAAATTAGCCACTTGTGGTGGCGTGTGCCTGTAGTCCCAGCTACTCAGGAGACTGAGGCAGGAGAATCGCTTCAACCCGGGAGGCGGAGATTGCAGTGAGCTGAGATTGCACCACTGCACTCCAACCTGGGTGACACAGAGCGAGACTCCTTCTCAAAGAAAAAAAAAAAAAAAGTAATCGTAACAAATTATAACTCATCAAATAAAACAGGAACCCATGAGTCCACATTTGGTATAAAGAAATGTATACCAATGTGAATAAATTGTAAGTTAGATGAGGAACAGATATTTACATAGGTTTACCTTACCTCTTCAAAAACTAATATTAGTATTAATTCCAGAGGGAAAAACAGTCACTTACAGTGGAGAATCATGGCCAACACCTTCTTAATCAAATGACCAAACATAATACTAACATAGAACAGGCAAGCCCCAACATTGAGGCTTAGCCCAGAAGGGTTCTTGGCTTTGCCTGGGAAAGAATTCAAGGGTTAGCAGGTGGTGTTAAACAGCAACTTGGCAGCATACAGCAGCAGGAAAGGTGCAGCTCCTTGTGAAGCAGGGTTACCCCAAAGGCAGTGTGCCAAGAGAAGCAGCTTGGAGGTGGTTCTGCACTAATATTTATGCCTGTTTTAACTATACACAAATTAAGGGGCAGTTTATGCAGAAATGTCTAGGATGAGGGTGGTAACTTCCAGGTCATCAGGCCGTTGCCATGGAAAGGCCTTGTAATGTCCAGGTGTTGCCATGGCAATGGTAAACTGATATGGCATACGGATGGGTGTATCTTATGGAAAGCTGCTTCCCCTGGGAACCTGTTTTTGCTAGTCCTCAATTTGGTCCTGAATCTGAGCCCTGCCTCTGGAGTCAAGTTTTGCCTCCTACCTCAATATCACTGGTAATGGGACAAATAGACATCAGAATCCCCTGATGGAATGCCATGGGAACACAGCATCACTTCCATGATTCACAACCCAAATCTAGTCATGAGAAAACACTGGAAAAACCAAAATGGTGGGATATTCCTCAAAATAACTGTTCTATAGTCATCAGACTTGTCAAGTTCATGAAAATCGAGGAAAGAGTCAAGAACGATTTCAGATGGAAGGAGAGTAAAGAGATATGACAAATAAATGCAACGTATAATTGTGGACTAGCTCCTCTTGTATTAAAGAGATTATTGGGACAACTAGAAATTTAAATAGGGTAAAAGGATTAAGTAGTAGTAACGTATTAATGTCAACTTCCTGATTTTGATGGCAGTGTTTTGACTGTGCAGGAGAATATCCATCTGCAGGAAATATACACAAAAGAATTTGCTAACAAAGCTGTAGGTTTTTGGCTTTCTCCTGTCTGCTAAGTAAGTTACCACTCCATCATCTGTTTTCCACTTTTCTAAATTTTATTTTATTGATTTATTTTATTTTGTTAATAATCTTTATCTGTTATTTCCCCCCCATTCATTCTTTTTGTGTTTATGTGTTTTTTAATTACTCAATATCATTTTTGTTTGGTTTCAGGAGTGAGCAAATAAAAATGCTTCTGTTTAATCTACCATGAAAAACTGGAAGTCTCTCTGAGCTGTCATAAATCACATCACTGTGTGAGTCATAGAAGTAGAAAGTGAAAGGGAAGGTATCATAACTGGAAAAAAAAGCAGCAGTTGGAGAGAGGGGACAAATACAAAAGATATTTATATATCTTTATTTATTTATCGAGATGGAGTTTCGTTCTTTTTTTTTTTTTTTTTTTTTGAGACGGAGTCTTGCTCTGTCACCCAGGCTGGAGTGAAGCGGCGCGATCTCGGCTCACCACAACCTCCGCCTCCTGGGTTCATGCCATTTTCCTGCCTCAGCCTCCCAAGTAGCTGGGACTACAAGTGCCCGCCACCACACCCGGCTAATTTTTTGTATTTTTAGTAGAGACGGGGTTTCACCGTGTTAGCCGGGATGGTCTCGATCTCTTGACCTCGTGATCCGCCCACCTCGGCCTCCGAAAGTGCTGGGATTACAGGCGTGAGCCACCGTGCCCAGCCGGAGTTTCGTTCTTGTTGCCCAGGCGTGAGTGCAGTGGCGCCGTCTTGGTTCACTGCAACCTCCACCTCCCAGATTCAAGCAATTCTCCTGCCTCAGCCTCCCGAGTAGCTGGGATTACAGGCATGCCCCATCACGCCCGGCTAATTTTTTTGTATTTTTAGTAGAGACAGGGTTTCACCATGTTGGCCAGGCTAGTCTTGAACTCTTGACCTCAGGTGATTTGCCTGCCTCGACCTCCCAAAATGCTGGGATTACAGGCGTGAGCCACTGCACCCAGTCAGATATCATTTAAACAGAACTCTACTATTTTATATCCTTGTATACATAGTCCTAACGAACATGCTTGTTTAATCATTCTGCTATACAGAGAATGCAAAAAATTGTTTTGCACAAACCCATGTGGATTGTTATAAAATAATACGTTTTATTGCTGCTTAAATGCCAGTCCTCCTCAACAAAATATTAGCAAATCAAATTCAACAATGTATAAAAAAGTATACACTAGGACTAAGAGGGATTTGTTTCAGGTTTGCAAGGCTGGTTCAACATTTGAAAACTGATCGCTGTAATCTATCACATTAGCAGGCTGAAGAAGAATCCCATGATCCTATCAGCAGATGCAGAAAAATAATTTGACAAAATCCAACACTCATTTATGAAAAATCTTTCAACCAACTAGAAATAGAAGGGAACTTCTTCAACTTGATAAAGAATATCTATTTTAAAAATCCCTAGAGCTAGCATCATGCTTAATGGTGAGAAACTAGATGCTTTCCCACTAAGATCAGGAACAAGGCAAGGACGTCTGCTGTCACCACTCCTATTCAACATTGTACTGGAACTCCTAGATAATGCAATAAGACAAGAAAATGACATAAAAAGTGTATAGGTTGGTAAGGGAGAAATAAAACTGTCTTTGTTTGCAGATGACATGACTGTCCACATAGAAATACCAAAGAATCAACAAGAACTGGCTAATAAGTGATTATAGTAAGGTTGCAGGATACAAGGTTAATATGCAAAAGTCAATTGCATTCTTATATACCAGCAATGAACAAATGGAATTTGAAATAAAATACATAAAGCCATTTACACTAGTACTCACAAGTTAAATACTTAGGTATATATCTAACAAAATATATGTAAGATCTATAAGAAAAACTACAAAACTCTGATGAAAGAAATCAAAGAAGCTCTAAATAAATGGAGAGATATTCCATGCATGAAGATAGGAAAACTCAGTATTGTCAAGCTGTCATTTCTTTCCAATTTGATCTACAGACTCAGTGCATTCCATAGACATAACTAGTTGTTCCATAGTGTGTGTGTATGCATGTGTTGCTTAATGATGGGGATACATTCTGAAAAATGCGTAATTAGGCCATTTCATGGTTGTGCAAACATCACAGATATACTTACATACCAAGATAGTATAGCCTATTACATACATAGACTAGATGGTATAGCCTATTGCTCCTAGGAGATAAACCTGTACAGAATTTTACTGTACTGAATACTGTAGGCAATTGTAACACAACGGTATTTGTGTACTTAAGCATACCTAAACATAAAAACTACAGTAAAAACCTGGTATAAAAGATAAAAAACGATATAACTATATAAGACACCATGAATGGTGCTTGCAGGACTGGAAATTGCTCTGGGTGAGTCAGTGAGTGAGTGGTGGGTGAATGTGAAGGCCTAGAATGTTACTATACACTATCACAGACTTTAAAAGCCCCATAGCCTTAGGCTACACTAAGTTTATTTTTAAAATATAGTAATTGCTCCATGATCTTATGACATCTACAATGTCATCTGGTGATAGAAAATTTTCAGCTCCATTATAATCTTATGGGACCACTGTTGTGTATGTGGTCCACTGTTGACTGAAACACCATGATGTTGCACATGACTCTGTGTGTTTGTGTGTGTGTGTGTGTGTGTGTGTTCCCAGAGAAACCTGACTAATACAATGGCTAATTGTCTACTACTAGCTCTACTATCCTTCTTGCCTCCTTCTTGTCTTCAACCTGAATCAGCTTTCAGCTAACCTCAATTTACAGAGAAGCAGATAATTAACATTGAGGTATTGTTGTGTGAAGTTGATAGGGTCTATATACCTTTTACTTTTTTTTTTTTTTTTTTTTTTTGAGACAGAGTCTCGCTCTTGTTGCCCGGGCTGGAATGCAGTGGAGTGATCTTGGCTCACGGCAACTTCCACCTCCCGGGTTCAAGTAATTCTCCTGCCTCAGCCTCCTGAGTAGCTGGGATTACAGGCACCCACCACCATTCCCAGCTAATTTTTGTATTTTTAGTTGAGATGGGGCTTCACCATGTTGGCCAGGCTGGTCTCGAACTCCTGACCTCAGGTGATTCGCCCACCTCAGCCTCCCAAAGTGCTGGGATTACAGGCATGAGCCACTGCACCCGGACCTCCATATTTCTTTTAACAATAATGTCTTCAAACAAAAAGAAAGGAATGCTAAAAACGAAAGTTTATTCCACCAGGTTGGTGGACTGTATCATACATATGCATTTGATTCTATATACATAGATATGTGTTTTTATTTATTTTGGTTTTGGTTGAATGGTCATTGCTCCAACCAAAAAGATATGTGTTTTATTTATTTTGTTTTTGGTTGGAGGGTCATTCTGGATGTCAGTCTCTGCCTGCTACAGATAGTGGGCACCTACCTCAGCAGGCTGTCTCTTGCAGACTCTGGGTTTTTCTCAGATTAAGAACCCAGACCCACTAGCTGTAGACCTAGTCTGTGGCTCTAAGACAGACATTTAATATTGATGATTCCCTCCAACCTGAGCCTGCTTGCGGCTTCCAGCCTGCGACCTTCCCTAGCTTATACAACCAGGCTTCGGCCCTGGTTCCTTGTTTGTGCTTTAGCAATCTGGTAGTTCTGGAGCCATGACACAAGCTTAGGCCCATTTGGCTAGATTGCGATTTTCTGTGTAGCTTTTGCCAGCTTCTGTGCCCCAGAGTGTCTGATACCATTCATTCTACTTCTATTTCAACTTGAATAGACTTCTCTTGGACTCTGATTCTGGTTCTGCAT
Organism: Homo sapiens; assembly: GCF_000001405.40. Taxonomy (NCBI): domain Eukaryota; kingdom Metazoa; phylum Chordata; class Mammalia; order Primates; family Hominidae; genus Homo; species Homo sapiens. The sequence continues at coordinate 13,560,686 of NC_000010.11, forward strand.
GACTAAGTTGCTGCCATTACTCAGTGACTGTTGAAGTTGTGCCCTCACTTAGCAAGAGAGACCTCCTGGGTGGATCCAACTTGAACTGTTTCCAAGTTTCTCTTGCTCTGGTGGATACTGTGACATGCATCCTGGGACTCAATGTTGTTTCTGGGTTGGTTCCAGACTCCCTGTTTCCAGTTCATTCCCTGGTCCCTGATGGGGAGCTTCTGGGATCCAACATGCTTCACATTTTGGTCTGCAAGGGTTAGGGAATAGTTATCAAATCACAGCACACAGAAGATTGGGAGATAAGCATAAAGGATATCTTAAGTAAAAAAGTGACAAGATGAAAGTGGCATTTTGGGATGATTAATCTCCTAGTGCTGTGCGGGACAAATCAGAAACAGGGCCAGGTGCAGTGGCTCACGCCTGTAATCCCAGCACTTTGGGAGGCCGAGGCAGGTGGACCACTTGAAGTTAGGAGTTCGAGACCAGCCTGGCCAACGTGGCGAACACTCATCTCTATTAAAAGTACAAAAAATAAGCCAAATGTGATGGCGCATGCCTGTAATCCCAGCTACTCGGGAGGCTGAGGCAGGAGAATTCGTTGAAACTGGGAGGTGGAGGTTGCAGTGAGCTGAGATCGTGCCCCTGCACTCCAGCCTGGGCGACAGAGCAAGACTCCATCTTGAAGAAAAAAAAAAAAAGAAGACGCAGGGTACACTGTCTCACATGTTAATCCATTAATTGAGGCATTTCGTGCTTAAGACCTGGCCTAGGGTAGTAGTGAACATGAGAAGTAATGAATCTAAAATACTTCATGCAAATTGCAAATAAGATGCTATTTGCATAAAGATGTTCACTGCAGAATAACTTATAATAGCAAAAGCTTGCAATGACCTAAATATCCAGCAACACAGGAGTGATTTAAATAAATTCTGGTTATAGTCCACTTAATGAAATATTACATAACTAAAGAAGCCACAATGAAGACTGTCAATCAAAATGTGAAAGTGGATGTGATATGATTAAATAAAAGAAAAAACAGGATGCAAAATAATAGGTGCACAATTATTACAAAGTCTATACACATGCAAATAAAATATGCGCCCTAATTTTATTAAGTGGTAACAGTAATTGTGTGATAGAATTACGTATGATTTTATTTTCTCCATTTGCTAAATTCCTATAATATGGTTGTATTAGTTTTAAAGGTTCTGTGATTCTAACTTCCTATTTAGAGTAATTTTACCTCTAATTTCAGTGATCATTTTGATAAATTTATTGGTGCCCTGATATATCCTAGGTCCTGGAATGAACCTTGAGGGAGGGTAAACAGCCATTTTGAGAAAGTCATGTTGTTTGTTTTTATTTTTTCATCAAGGGCCAAGCCAAACCTGCCTTTGGCAGTTGAGGCCCTTGATGAAAAAATAAAAACAAATAGCAAAACATTGTTTTCCAGGCAGCCCAAGAAGACCTACTTACTGGAAACTTATGCATTGGATTTATGTCGATTTCTAGCATAGCTGGGCCACAGCTGCCTCCCCGGCCACCAGGTGCCCATACTTTGTACTCATTTTCCCTTTCTCTGGGGGCTACAATAGGAACTAATGTTAAAATCAGCAAGCCCTAAGCATTGTTGAAATCAACGAGCCCTTACCACAACTGGCATGTTTTTTCCCCTTAATACTGCTTGTTTTTCATCTCTACCTTGAGGCAGTATTAACTTAGTTGATAAAATCATGGACAGACCTGGTTTGAAGTTCTGGGTGTTCTGCTCATAGCTGTGTGATCGTGGGTAAGTTACTCGACCAAGCCGTGTCTCCATCAGCTCCGGGTGTGATATTGCTACCTTATAGAATTGCGGAATGATGGTAAAGAGGCCCAGGAAGAGTTATCAGTAGAGCTATTTTGCCATCATTCAACCTCACCAAGTTGCTGCTGAGGGAGAAGGGTGCTGGCCTCTCAGTGGATCCTGTATCTCCATTTGGGGGAGGTCAGGACAGGACTGTGCACAAAGACCCTTTATGTTACAACTTGACATGTTTTCTGAAATGCCGCCTGCATTCATGACTCTCCTGGGACAGTTTAGATGTCACTATCATCCAGCATCTAGATACTCTTATGCAGCTACAGAATTTATTGAGGTAAATGTGCAACGATTTTCAGATGAGGCCGGAAACATAGCATTCTTTGTATGGCAAAGATGAATGTGTCTTAGTCCGTTTATGTTGCTATAAAGGAACACCTGACTCTGGATAATTTATAAAGACAAGTTTTTTTGGCTCACAGTTCTCCAGGCTGTATAAGAAGCATGGCGCCAGCATCTGCTTCTGGTGAGGCCTCAGGAAGCTTCCACTTACTGCAGGAGGGGAAGGGGAGCCAGCGCCAGCATGTGGTGATCACACGGTGAGAGAGAAAGCAGGAGAGAGAAGGAGGTGCCAGACACTTTTTAACAACCAGCTGTCGTGTGAACTAATAGAGCGAGAGCTCTGTCATTACTGAGAGGATGCACCAAGCCGTTCATGAGGGATCCGCCCCCGTGACTCAACCACCTCCCATTAGGCCCCACCTCCAATGTTGGGAATCAAATTTCAACACGAAGTTTGGGCAACAAACATCTAAACCGTAGCAAACAGGTAAGTGGGAAGTTCAGTAATAATTACCGAATTTATAGATAACAGGTCTCTGAGCCCATCTCCCCTGAATACTCCCTTTTGGGAGCCTGTGGCCAGGCTGATCTTGAACTCCTGACCTTGTGATCCACCTGTCTCAGCCTCCCAAAGTGTTGGGACTACAGGTGTGAGCCACTGCGCCTGGCCTGGTGCCTGCATTTTTTATTTTTATTTTTATTTTTTTTGAGACGGAATCTGACTCTGTCACCCAGGCTGGAGTGCAGTAGCATGGTCTCAGCTCACTGCAACCTCCGCCCCCCTGGGTTCAAGTGGTTCTCCTGCCTCAGCCCCCTGAGTAGCTGGGATTACAGGCACCTGCCACTGCGCCTGGTTAATTTTTGTATTTTTAGTAGAGACAGGGTTTCACTGTGTTAGCCAGGATGGTCTCTATTTCCTGACCTTGTGATCCGCCCAACTCGGCCTCCCAAAGTGCTGGGATGACAGGCATGAGCCACTGCGCCTGGCTGGTGCCTGCATTTTTTAACCTATGTTTCCTCTCTCTCTGTCACTGACTCTAACATGTCCCCTGTTGGCTGGATCCATGAACTTGCAGGCTATTCTTCTTGGATTACCTCTTCCACCTGGATTTTTTTTTTTTTTTTTGAGACAAGGACTCACTTTGCCACTTAGACTAGAGCATGGTGATGCAATCACGGTTCACTGCAGCCTTGACCCCCTGGGCTCAAGTGATCCTCCCTCTCAGCCTTCCAAGTAGCTGGGATTGCAGACATGCATCACTACACCTGGCTAACTTTTAAGTATTTTGTAAAGAAGCAGTCTCGCTCTGTTGCCCAGGCTGGTCTTGAACTCCTGATCGCATGCAGTCCTCTTGCTTCAGTCTCCCAAAGTATTGAGATCACAGGCATGAGTCACTGCACACAGCCTGTTTGGCATTTTGACAATGGCCCAAATTCTCTATTGCCTGCCTGTGGCTAACCCTCCTTGTCTGCTAACCCTCCTTCTTCCAGAGGAGGAAGACACGTGTGGGTCTTCCTCCTCACCTGGTCCAGTTCTCACCTGACCACTTTGCCAAAGCTGACAAGAAACTGCTCCTCAGCACCCAGCTTCCTCCCACAGGCAATAGAGATCTTTCAACAGGGCTGATACCCACTATGGGAATTCAGAAGAAAGCTGGGCAAGTGATAGGACAAGGGAATGAAGCCAAGAGGTGGTAGAAAGTGGGAAAGTGGAAACATCAGGGAAGGATCATGGAGGGAGAGGAAGAACCGTAAAGTCGTTCAGGTAACTGTTGGTGGATGATATGGTCTGTGTAAGAGTTGAAGAAGGAAGAAAGAAGCACAAAAAGTGGCTCAACAGTCAAAGACAGGTTTATGTTAAAGAATAAACCTGAGAGGGGCTTCTGGCCGAATTAGGTCAGGAGCACTCTCTCTTACAGACTAAGAGTTTTTAAGAGGTCAGGTCAAGAGAGCGCATCACAGGCTGGGAATGTTTCTGTGTCTCTTTGTCTTGCTTATCTGGGAGAGAGAGTTTTGTGTCTGTTCCCATACATCTTCCTGCAGGTACAGGCATACCCACTGAGTCTGCTTTTAGCTTTCCTAGCTTAGTGCACCTAAAGGAAAAGGAATGTGCTTATTAGGGCCCACTGTTTTACTGGGGCCCATTGTATGAGTGTGAAGTTTGGTGGTTACCCAAGAGACTTTCCCCCACTCCTTCTGGGCCCGAGCTGTCTTATCTGTGTTTTGCTATCTGCCCTTTCTGGCTTTTTCTTGTTAGAAGAGAAGTGATTTCCTTGAAACGCATGAGGGTAGAAAGGGAGCTAGAACTTAAAATGGCAGTGTTTTTCCAAGAAGACAGTGCTCCTGCTCTGTCAGTTTGGATCTGCATCCCCACCAAATCTCATGTTGAATTGTAATCCCCAGGGTTGGAGGTGGGGCCTGGTAGGAGGTGACTGTACCATAGGGGCAGATTTCCCATGAATGCCTTAGCACCATCCCCCTCGATACTGTCCTCATGATAGTCAGCGAGTTCTTGTGAGATCTAGTTGTTTAAAAGTGTGTGGTACCCACCCCCATCCCCTGCTCCTGCTCCGGCCATTTAAGACGCATCTGCTCCCCCTTTGCCTTCCACCCTGATTGGAAGCTTCCCAAGGCCTCCCCAGAAGCCGAGCAGATGCCAGCATCATGCTTCCTGTACAGCCTGCAGAACCATGAGCCAATTAAACCTGTTTTACTCATAAATTACCCAGTCTCAGGTATTTCTTTATAGTGATGCAAGAACAGACAAATACAGGGGATAAAACACTAGAAAGAATGGGGATGAATGGAAAATGGAGATCTATGACGAAGAAAAATAAAGTGTGTGGTGGTTACAGTTGAAAATAAAAAAAGAAAATGGGTGTAATGTTTGGAGGGGAGGCGTGCAGTGGAGGTGAAGGTGGAAAGGTGGGCTACGGGGCCATTTCAAGGCAGGATTATAAGGTGGGCACCTGAGACAATCAGCCAATGACTGCCATTAGAGGGGCTGTAACAGCTCTTGCCTTCAAGAAAGATGGGATTCAAAAGATGGCTTAAATAAATACAAAAATATATAAAATAAAGTAGACTATTAAACATAATAAGAGAAGTTCAAATAAATCATGGTGGGATCACACAAAAAGGACGTCATGGCATTCAACATTCTGTCCCTTATCTCTGAAGAGTTTTGAGACTGAAATTTGGGGGGTTCTTTTCTTTTTCTTTCTTTCTTTTTTTTTTTTTTCTGAGATGGAGTCTTGCTCTGTCGCGCAATGGCGCAATCTTGGTTCACTGCAACCTCTGCCTCCCAGGTTCAAGCAATTCTCCTGCCTCAGCCTTCCGAGTGGCTGGGATTACAGGTGCCTGCCACCATGCCTGGCTAATTTTTGTATTTTTAGTAGAGACGGGGTTTCACCACATTGGCCAGGCTGGTCTTGAACTCCAGACCTTGTGATCCACCCGCCTTGGCCTTCCAAAGTGCTGGCACTATAGGCATGAGCCACTGCCCCCAGCCTTGGGGGTTCTTTAGTAGAAAGTTACCATGTAAATATATTAAATTACTAAACATCTTCAGCAATCAAAAGAAAATCATGTTATGTTTGATAGCAGAAACTTACCCTGATTTAGGGTCTATTTATAATATTAAATTTATACATTTAGAAACACTTTATCTCATTTTTTTTTTTTGCCTCAAAATCTCTGTTGGTTAAGTAAAGTATGATCTTTATTTTGCAAATGACTGGCCTAATATTATACCTCTTTAAGTGACAAAGCCATTTTCTACTTCTCTTTTTTTCAGTCTTGTGTGTTTTTCTAGATCATTGTTGGCATGCTAAAATCTGGTATTTTCTAGGATGAATCAGTAGCTTTTTTTTATTGTAAAGAGTAGAAACTCTGGCCCTATTTTAACTAATCTTTTCAGTGGTAGGAGGATGAAACAGAAATAAAATATATTGAGGATGGTAAGTAAGAATTATAAGGAATTGGCATTTGGCACTGGTCGTTTCTAAGGAGATTAAAAAGGCATAAACATTAACGAAATGTGATGAACTATTCAGCTCCTAGCATCGTAAATGCTAAATAAATGTTTGTTGAAATAATGAAAGAACGGATGGATGAACTGTAAAAACACAGAAATGAATATAATGATATCTAAAATTATTGAGTATTTACCATATGCCAGGCACTGTTTTAGCCCACTACATGCATCTCATTTTAATCAACACGCTAATTCTCTTACACAGGTACTGCTGTTATTTCCCATTCTGCAGATGAAGAAACTGAAGTACAGAAAGATTAAGTAATTATAGTACTGAGGCCCTGTCCCATTTATAACACTGCAGCAAGTTCCTGATTTCATAAGAGCCCTGTGGCAAGTTACTCAATTTCATAATGCAACTAGCCAGCCATACTCTTCCTAAGCCAGCCAAGCCCAAGCCCATCAATTGGTTGCTTCTGTTTGTGCTGCCACTTGTGGCTGAGTGGACCTGCTCTTGTTCCCTTACCCTTCCACCATCTCTTTCAGCTCTATTTGTGACTTCTTATTCCAAAGGCTGTTGGCACCACTTGGCAACACACCTCTTCAGCCCTAACTGGAGATAAGAATAGGTGGGAAAGGGGCTATTAATTTCAAACATAACATGGAGATCCAGGACTTGGGTTCCAGGCTTCCAGTTCTGCCTTGACTCTCACCTCTGCTTTCTTACCCTTGAAAGCCAAAGCAAAATTCTCTGCGTCTTCTGGCCAGCCATCCTATATTTTATTGACTCTATGACAGCCATTCATTCAGAGATTCTGATGTAATTGCTCTGGTATAAAAAAAGTGCACCCTGTTCACAATAGCAAAGACTTGGAACCAACCCAAATGCCCATCAGTGATAGACTGGATAAAGAAAATGTGGCACATGTATACCATGGAATACTATGCAGCTGTAAAAAATGATGAGTTCATGTCCTTTGCAGGGACATAGATGAAGTTGGAAACCATTATTCTCAGCAAACTAACACAGGGACAGAAAACCAAACACTGCATGTTCTCACTCATAAGTGGGAGTTGAGCATTGAGAACACATAGATACAAGGAGGGGAACGTCACACACTGGGGCCTGTCGGAGGGTGGGGGGCTGGGGGAGGGATAGCATTAGGAGAAATACCTAATGTGGATGACAGGTTGATGGGAGCAGCAAACCACCATGGCACGTGTATACCTGTATAACAAACCTGCACATTCTGCATATGTACCCCAGAAATTAAAGTATAATTTAAAAAAAAGTGCACCATTAAAAAAATTCACCACTAAGAAGGAAAAATAAACATTCTCAATTATAACTGCGTGATGTCATCAACTGAAAAAATATGTCCCCTTTTCAGAGAAGTTAAAACTGAAAAAAAAAGTCACGTTAAACTGGGTGAAATGTGGTCTTTAACGGTGTCTTGATAGATATTTCTAACACGTGGGGGACATTCATAGCCAGCTTTTCCCATGGCCATTACTACTGCCACTTGCAATGTTCTCAATGTTCTGTCCCTCCTTTTGGAACGTGCTGTCAATTGTAGCAGCTGTAGTTATAAGTAGTTATAAACAGTGCTTTTTTTTTTTGAGATGGAGTCTCTGTCACCCAGGCTGGAGTGCAGTGGGACGATCTCAGCTCACTGCAACCTCTGCCTCCTGGGTTCAAGCAATTCTCCTGTCTCAGCCTCCTGAGTAGCTGGGAATACAGGCGCACACCACCATGCCCAGCTAATTTTTGCATTTTTAGTAGAGACGGGGTTTCACCATACTAGTCAGGCTGGTCTCGAACTCCTGACCTCAGGTGATCCACCCACCTCGGCCTCCCAAAGTGCTGGGATTACAGGCTTGAGCCACTGCGCCCGGCCAGTGGTGCTCTTTTTGATGCAAACCTGTGAAGATTGTATATTTTGGATGTGATGGCTAACACAGAAGGATGCAGTGGCAGAGGATGCTAAAGAGTGGATACAATAGGAAGAGTATGGAATATATCAGAGGATAAGATGTTTAGGGAGGGGGTGCATGTGTCTTTTTAACCACTATGATATAGAATATTTCCATTTCCCTCCTCCTCCAAAAAATGCTCCTTCGTGACCCTCTGCAGTCAATTCCCAGCCCAAGCCCCAGCTCCTGGCAGTCACTAATCTTTCTATCACTATATTTTTAATGCTCCTGAAATTTCATATAAACGGAATCATGTAGTATATAGTATTCTGTGTCTGGAATACTTCACTTAACATACTGTTTTGGGACTTTCCAGGTTGTTGCATATATCAGCTGTTCATTCCTTCTTTATTTCAGAATACAGTTCCTTTGAATGAATGATACTATGGTGCATTTATCCATTCATTAGTTGACATGTATATTTGGGTTGTTTCTCCAACCCAACAAGGAAACATTCAGTCTTTCACCATTACATATGATGGTGACTGTAGGTTTTTGGTAAATGCTCTTTCCTACTTTGCTGCAAGTTTTTATCATGAATGAGTGTTGGATTTTGTCAAATGCTTTTTGTGTGTGTGTCAACTAAGATGGTCACATGATTTTTTTTTGTTAGCCAGTTGATACAGTGGATTACATTGATAAATTTTTAATTAATCAATTTTTGTTTGTTGAGCCACTCTTGCATATCTGGAACAAGTTCTACTTTATGTCCTTGAATAACCAAAGCAATTCTAAGCAAAAAGAACAAATCTGAAAGCATCACATTACCTGATTTCAAATTATACTACAAGGCTATATTAAACAAAATGGCATGGTACTGGTATGAAAGTAGATACATAGACCAATGGAACAGAGTGGAGAAATCAGAAGTAAAGCCAAATACTTACAACCAACTGGTCTTTAACAAAGCATACAAAAACATAAATTGGGGAAAGGACAACCTATTCAATAAAAGGTGCTGGGAAAACTGGATAGCCATATGTAGAAGAATAAAACCGGGTCTCTGTCTCTCACCATATAAAAAAATCAACTCGAGATGGATCAAAGACTTTAAGACCTGAAACTATAAAAATTCTAGAAGAAAACCTAGGAAAACCCCTTCTGGACATTGGCCTAGGAAAATAATTTGTGACTAAGGCCCCAAAAGCAAATGCAATAAATAAATAAATAAATAGGACTGTATTGAAGAAGCTTTTGCATGCCAAAAGAAATAATCATCAGAGTAAACAGACAACCCACAGAATGGGAGAAAATATTTGCAAACGATGCATCCAACAAAGGGCTAATATCCAGAATCTACAAGGAACTCAAACAAACCAGCCAGAAAAATAAATAATCCCATCAAAAAGTAGGCAAATGACATGAATAGACATTTCTCAAAAGAAGATATACAAATGGCCAGCAAATATATGAAGAAATGCTCAACATTACTAATCATTAGGGAAATGCAAATTAAAATCACAAAGAGATACCACCTTACCCCAGCCAGACCACCATTATTAAAAAGTCAGAAAACAGGCCAGGTGCAGTGGCTCAAGCCTGTAATCCCAGCACTTTGGGAGGCTGAGGTGGGCAGATCACCTGATGTCAGGAGTTCGAGACCAGCCTGCCCAACATGGCGAAACCCCATCTCTACTAAAAATACAAGAAATTAGCCGGATGTGGTGGCGGGCGCCTATAATCCCAGCTACTCGGGAGGTTGAGGCAAGAGAATCACTTGAACCCAGGAGGCGGAGGTTGCAGTGAGCTGAGATTGCACCACTGCACTCCGGCCTGGGCAACAAGAGCGACACTCTGACTCAAAAAAAAAAAAAAAAAAAAAAAAACCAAAGTCAGGAAACAATAGATGTTGGCACAGACATGCTAAAAAAGGAAGGTGGGAATGTAAGTTAGTACAACCTCTATGGAAAGTGGTATGGAGACTTCTTAAGGAACAAAAGTAGATCTACCATTTGATCCAGCAATCTGGCTACTGGGTATCTACCCAAAGGAAAAGAAGTCATTCTATCAAGAAGACACCTGCATATATATATTTATCACAGCACAATTCACAATTGCAAAGATATGGAATCAACCAAAGTGCCAATCAACCGATGAGTGGGTAAAGAAAATGTGGTATATATACACCATAGAATCTACTCAGCTGTAAAAAAGTGAAATAATGTCTTTTCAGCAACCTGGATGAAGCTGAAGGCCATTGTTCCAAGAGAAGTAACTCAGGAATGGAAAATCAAACACAGTATATTCTCACTTGTAAGTGGGAGCTAAGCTATGGGTATGCAAAGTCATGCACACTGGTATAATAGACTTTAGAGATTCAGAAGGAAGGAGGGTGGGAGGGCGGTGGGGGATAAAAAACTGCATATTCAGTACAATGTACAGGACTTGGGTGACAGGCACACTAAAATCTTAGACTTCACCACTCTACAATTCATCTGTGTAACCAAAACCACTTGTACTCCAAAAGCTATGGAAAGAAAAAAATCCTACCTTTTCATGGTGTATAATGATTTTTATACATTGTTGGATTCAAGTTGCTAATATTCGGTTGAGGAATTTTGTGTCTAAGTTCATAAGTGATATTGGTCTATAGTTTTATTTTTCTGTAATGTGTTTGTTAGGTTTTGGTTTCTGGGAAACTGGCCTCATAAAAATTAGTTGGGAAGTACTCCCTCTTATATTTTCTGGAAGAACTGCAAAATTGGTGTTACTACTTTAAATATATGATAAGTCTCCAGTGAAACTCTCAGGACTTGGAGATTTCTATTTCCACCCCACAGGGTTTTGTTTGTTTGCTTGTTTGTTTGTTTGAGACAGAATCTCTCTCTGTTGCCCAGGCTGGAGTACAGTGGTGCACTCTCAGCTCACTGAAACCTCCGCCTCGCAGGTTCAAGTGGTTCTCCCACCTCTGTCTCCCGAGTAGCTGGGACAAGTGTGTACTACTGTGCTTAGCTTAGTTCAAAATACTTACTAATTTCCAGCCTGGGCAATGTGACGAAACCCTATCTCTACAAAAAATAAAAACAAAATGAGCCGAGTGTGGTGGCACATGACCATGGCACAAGCTATTTTGGGGACTAAGGTGTGAGGATCACTTGAGCTCAGGAGGTGGAGGCTGCAGCAAGCCATGATCATGCCACTGCACTCCAGCCTGGGTGACAGCAAGACCCTGTCTAAAAAAATGAAACTTGCTAATTTCCCTTGTGATTACTTTTTTGATCCTATGGATTATTTGTAACCGTACTGTTTAATTTCCAAATACTGGAGTTTTCTAGATATTTTTCTGCTATTTCTAGTTTAATTCATTGTTGTCAAAGAACATACACCGTATATTTTTAATTATTTGAAATTTATTGAGAATTGTTTAATGCTTCAGAATATGATCTTAGTGCATGTTCCAAATGGACTTTAAAAAGAGTATGTATTCTGATGTTTGGGGCAGAATGTTATATAAATTTCAATTGGGTCATGCTAATTGATAATGTACAAGTCTTATATATCCTTGCTGATTTTCTGTCCACTTGTTCTCTCAATTACTGATAGTGATGTGTGGAAATCTCCACCTATAAGTGTAGACTTGTTTACTTGTCCTTTGAGATCTAACATCTTTTGCTTCATGCATTTTGACGCTATGTTAATACTCATTTGAGATTGTGATGTCCTCTTGGTGCAGTGACATTTTTATCATTATGAAATGTTCTTCTTTCTCCCTATTAATGTTCCTTATTCAGAATTTTGCTTTGTCTAATTAACATAGTCACTGCTATGATCTGAATGTTTGTAGTCTCTCAAAATTCATATGTTGAAACTTAACCCCCAAAGTGATGGTATTAATAAGTGGGGGCTTTGGGAGGTGATTTTTTTTTTGAAAGAACTCTGCCCTCACGAATAGGATCAGTGCCTTCATAAAAGGCTTGACCCTTATAAAAGAGGCCAGGCTTACCCCTTTTGCCATGTGAGGACACAGCACGAAGCTGTCATCTATGAGGAACAGGCTCTCACCAGACACCAAATCTGCTGGCATCTTGATCTTGGGCTTCCCAGCGTCAGAACTATAAACTATTGTTTATAAATCACCCAGCCTAAGATATTTTTTACGGCAACTCAACCAGACTAAGACAGGTAGTTTCATTTCTTTTTATTAATGGTTGCATGGGAATATCATTTCCCATCCTTTACCTCTAACTTTATATTTAAAGTGAGATTCTTGCAGTGAGCCTGGATCGTGCCACTGTACTACAGCCTGGGCGACAGAGCAAGACTCTGTTTCAAAAAACCAATGAGACAACATACAGTTGATTTGTTTTTGAAAATCCAGTCTAATAATTTCTGCCTTTCAATTGTACTGTTTAGTCAATTTGCACTTAATGCAATTATTATTATCATTATTTTATGTATTTTTTTTGAGACGGAGTCTCACTCGGTCACTCAGGCTGGAGTGCAGTGGCACAATCTCAGCTCACTGCAATCTCTGCCTCCCAGGCTCAAGCGATTCTCCTGCCTCAGCCTCCCGAGTAGCTGGGATTACAGGCGTGTGTCACCACGCCCAGCTAATTTTTGTATTTTTAGTAGAGACGCGGTTTTGCCATGTTGACCAGGCTGGTCTTGAATTCCTGACCTCAGGTGATCCGCCTGCCTTGGCCTCCCAAAGTGCTGGGATTACAGGCTTGAGCCACTGTGCCCAGCCTCTTAATGCAATTATTGATTTAAATAGTCAATTACTTTTAAAAAATATATTAAAAATGAGAAGCCTTTCATATTTATCCAGATGTTTAGCAATTCTACATTTTTCTTTCCTTTTTATTTTGCATGATTTTTCTTCAGACTGAAGAACTTTCTTTGATACTCTTTATAGTACAGGTTTACTGGTGATGAATTCTCTCAACCTTTGTCTGAAAAAAACCTTCAGTTTACTTTCATTTTTGATATTTTTGCAGAGTATAGAATCCTAGGTTGACAGTTTTTGTCCCCTAATACTTAAAAAATGTCACTTCTTTGTCCTCTGGCCTGCGTGGTTTCTGATAGGAAATGTGTAGTCATTCTTTTCTTTTTTTTTCTTTATGTAATAATTTTTGTGAGCAGCTTTTAACACATGTTCTTTAGTCGCTGCTTCTCAGAAATTTGACTGTGATCTACCTTGGTGCAGTTTTCTGCCGGGGTCCATGAACTTTTGGGATCTGAGTGTCTTCTAGTTTCCATCAAACTTGAGAAATATTTGGCCATTAATTCTTGACATATCTCCAGACCTATAACCTTTCTGGGCTCCATTACAGACACGTTAAACTGCTTGATACTATGCCATGGGTCACTGATGCTGGCTTCACGTTAAAAAAATCTCTCTCTCTTTCTTCGAATCATTTTTACTGTCTCCAAGTTCACCAGTATTTTCTTCTGCTGTGCCTTATCTGCTGTTAATGCTGTCCAGAGTATTCTTTATTTCAGATATTGTGTTTTTCATCTCTAGAGGTTCCATTTGGGTTTTGTTTTCTTCCATCTCTCTCTTAATTACGTTTATGTGTATTCACATTAAACATAAAACACTATATTTATCATTTATTGTCTAGAGAATGCATTCTCTGCATTCTTTTCTTTCCCTTCCTTCCTTCCTTCATTCCTTCTTTCCTTCCTCTCTCTCTCTCATCCCTCCTTCCCTCCTTCCCTCCCTCCCTTCCTTCCTTCCTTTCTTTCTTCCTTCCTTTCTCTCTTTCTCTCTTTCTTTCCAGTGCCTCTCTCTCCTTTCCAGTATTCTGCTCCATGGATTTCACCTCTTCAATCTCCCAGAACCGCAATTTCTTTTTCCTCTACTCAGTGAGGCAAGTGGGTTCTGTTGGGGTTTCTCCTTCCTGTGCTGTATCCTGGAAACTGCCTCCAGAATTCCAAGAATCCAGGAATCCATGAGGTAGGGCTCACTTTATGTGTTTTCTCTTCTCTCCATGAAGAGAAGAGAAGCTCTTTACTGCTGGTTATCAAATGTGTGAGAAATAGTTGTTTTATATATTTTGTCTGTTTTTTTTTGTAGTTGTTTATGGTAGGAGAGCAGTTCTTATGGCAGTTAGCCTTCTAGCTCAGAAGCAAAAACTCACTATGCTTTTCCATGATTTTTATGACTATTATTGGAAATTTATACTTCCATATGATCTTGAAGACCAGTTTCTTCTATTACAAAACCCTGTACCATAAGAATTATAAGTGAAACATGGACTCTCTATATTACTTTTTGGACATTTGACTTTATGTTATTTTACCTCCTTAGCCAATAGCATATTTTGCTATTCCTTTATTTGGGTGTTGCTTTATATCCTTCAATGACACTTTATAAATCTTTCCTCATGTAGGCTGTGTGCAGCGGCTTATGCCTGTAATCCCAGCACTTTGAGAGGCCGAGGAGGGCGGATCACTTGAGGTCAGGAGCTCAAGACCAGCCTGGCCAACATAGCAAAACCTCGTCTCTACTAAAAATACAAAAATTAGCTGGGCATGCTGGTGGGTGCCTGTAATTCCAGCTACTCGGGAGGCTGAGGGAGGAGAATCGCTTGAACCTGGGAGGCGAAGGTTGCAGTGGGCCGAGATTATGCCACTGTACTCCAGCCTGGGTGACAGTGAGAGTCCATCTTGAAGAAAAAAAAAAAAAGGAATTATAACTGAAACATGGACTCTCTATATTACTTTTTGGAAAATTGATTTTATGTTATTTTGCCTCCTTAGCTAGTAACATATTTTGTCATTCCTTTATCTGGGTGTTGCTTTATATCCTTCAATAACATTTTATAAACCTTTCCCCATGGAATCTGGACTTTTTTGTTCTTTATTTCTAAGATTTTGTACTTTTTAAATGTAACATTTTCCTATTTCCACTTCTATCTCATTATTGCATGCACAGAAAAAACATCAATTTTAAACTTATTTTGAATTTAGCTATATTACATTTCCTTGTTAATTCTAGTTTTTAAAAAGTCAATGGCTTGTAGGGTTTTCTTGGAAAATGATTGAATCATTGGCAGAATGCAATAACGTTATCTCCGTTTTTCCAATATTTATATTTACTCTTAATTTTTTCTTATTTCTCTCACAGAACATCTAAAACAAGATTGAATTATTATGATGACAGTGATGATCCACATCTTATTGTTTTAGTATTTCACCATTTAGAATCGTGTCTACTATTGAATATTATTAAGTAATCTTATCATATTTAAATAATTTCCCTATATTTATTTTACTCAGAGTTTTTTATTATTATTATTATTGTTAGTAATGACCCCTACATTGTATTAAATGCCTTCTCAGGGTTTTTTAAAAATATAATTCTTTATTTTTCCTCTTGCAATTTGTTGATGTAGTTAATTATTTAGGTACATTTCCTTGGAATAAACCCTACTTAGTCATAGTGTGTGCGGATGTGTGTGTGTGTGTGTGTGTTTCGAGATAGAGTCTAGCTCTGTTGCCCAGGCTGGAGTGCAGTGGCAGGATCTTGGCCCACTGCAACCTCTGCCTCCCGGGTTCAAGTGATTCTCCTGCCTCTGCCTCCCAAGTAACTGGGACCACAGGCGCATGCCACCAAGCCCAGGTAATTTTTTGTATTTTTAGTAGAGACGAGGTTTCACCATGTTAGCCAGGAGGGTCTCAATCTCCTGACCTTGTGATTCGCCTGTCTTGGCCTCCCAAAGTGCTGGGATTACAGGCCTGAGCCACTTTGCCTGGCCCATAGTGTGTTTTTTAATGCACTGCTAAATTCTATTTGCTAATATTTTAGGCACAAGTTTTCAATCTATGTTCATAAATGCAATGAGAATGTATATATGTTTTTCCATTGGTCCTTTTTCAGGCTTCAGTATGAAGTTTATCATGGCTTCATAAAATGCCCTGGAGAGCTTTCCAAATTTTTCTGTAGTCTAGAATAATTTTAGAGCGGCAGTTCTCAAAAGTGCGGTCCATTGAGGGGATTGGTGAGGTCAAAGCTATTTTTACAATAACGCTAACATTATGTGCCCTTTTCACTATGTTGACATTTGCACTGGAGGTACAAAAACAACAGTCAGTGTGCTGGTAACATTAGCATGAACCAAAACACCAGCATGAAACCTTACCAGCCGTCATAGTCTTCACTGCCATATACCCATGAAAGAAAAATTAAAAAAAAAGGCCAGTTTCACTTAAACATATTTTCAATAAAGCAGTAGAAATTATTAATTTTATTAAATCTTGACACTTGAATAAGCATCTTTTTAATATTCTGTGTGATGAAACAGGAAGTACACAGAAAGCAACCTGCTGCATACAGAAGTATGATGGTTGGCTTTAGAAAAAGCATTGTGCAATTGAAATGCAAACTGAACTAGCTTTTTTTCCCCATGGAATATTTCTTTTACTAGAAAGAATAAGCAATAGACAAACTATGGTTCTTCAGAGTTGGGTATCTGGTGGACATTTTTTTTCTTTTTATGACATCTCACTTGTGTGTGTGTGTGTGTGATTTTTTTCTTTTTTTTTTATACTTTAAGTTCTGGGATACGTGTGTAGAACGTGCAGGTTTGTGACATAGGTATACGCATGCCATGGTGGTTTGCTGCACCCATCAACCCATCACTTACATTAGGTATTTCTCCTCCCCTAGCCCTCCACCCCCTGCAGGCCCCGGTGTGTAATGTTCCCCTCCCTGTGTCCATGTGTTCTCATTGTTCAACTCCCACTTATGAGTGAGAACATGTGGTGTTTGGTTTTCTGATCTTGTGATAGCTTGCTGAGAATGAGGGTTTCCAGTTTCATCCATGTCCCTGCAAAGGACGTGAACTCATCCTTTCTTATGGCTGCATAGCATTCCGTGGTGTATATGTGCCACATTTTCTTAATCCAGTCTATCACTGATGGACATTTGGGTTGGTTCCAAGTCTCTGCTATTGTGAATAGTGCTGCAATAAACATACATGTGCATGTGTCTTTATTGTAGAATGATTTATAATCCTTTGGGTATATACCCAGTAATGGGATTGCCGGGTCAAATGGTATTTCTAGTTCTAGATCCTTGAAGAATCGCCACGCTGTTTTCCACAATGGTTGAACTAATTTATACTCTCTGGTGGACATTTTTTTGCAAATGAACAAAGTGAGCCTGTCATTTGAGGAAAACACCAGACAATATTTGTTGCTAGTGATAAAAGTGAGCTTTCAGTAAAAATTAGCATTTTGGAAAGTTGCACCTGTCACCATGAGCTTGATGTCTGCCCAGGGATTAAAAGGCTTTTCTGGCCAGGTGTGGTGGCTCACGCCTGTAATCCTGGCACTTTGGGAGGCCGAGGCAGGTGGATCACTTGAGGTCAGGAGTTCAAAACCAGTCTGGCCAACATGGTGAAACCCTGTCTCTACTAAAAATACAAAAATTAGCCGGGCGTGATGGCACACACCTGTAATGCCAGCTACTTGGGAGGCTGAGGGAGGAGAATCGCTTGATCCTGAAGGGCAGAGGTTGCCATGAGCCGAGATCACTCCAGCCTGACGACAGAGCAAGACTCTGTCTCAAAACAAAACAACAAAAAAGACTTTTTTTCTGATGAGAGGGAGGAGGTGGTATTAATGAATGTGATTTTTAAAATACTGTGTAATAAAATGTGTCAACATTTGGAAGATCTGTATACATCACTGAGCTTATACTTTCCAAATGACCAATGGATTCTGCTACAAAATCACGTATGAGTAAAAGATCCATCCAAAATTCAAGATAGACCAGTGAATTTTAATGTTTCAGATTCCACGTTGCAACTAACTCTTAAAAAACGACTGCTACTCAAAGTTGGAGGTAATATCAAAGAAGAATTTCCATGAGAATTAAGATACTTTTCCCTGTTCCAACTATGTATCTCTGTGAGGCTAGATTTTCCTTATATGCTTCAACCAATATAATATACTGCAATAGATCGAATGGAGAAGTAGATAGGAGAATCCTGTGTTCTTCCACTAAGCTAGACATTAAGGAAGTTTGCAACAGTGTAAAATAATGCTACTTTTCTCATTAAATTTTTTGAAACTATAATTGCTTTTGACAAAAACATGTTGTTTGTATTAATATATAAAGTGTTCATTATATGATTTTAAGTGAATTAATTTTTTAAAATTTCTGTTTTTATTTCTAGTATGACAAATATCAAGAGCTATAACCCACACAAAGCTTTTTGGGGGTCCTCAAGAATTTTTAAAAATGGAAAGGGGTTCTGAGACCAAAAAGTTTGAGAATAACTTGCTCAAATCATGTTAGAGTATTTCTTCTTCAAAGGCTGCATAGATCTCAATAGGAAAACATCTGGATCTGGCGCCTTTATAAGTGGGGTCTACAATCACTTTGCTTTCTCTGTGTTCCATTTGCTTATTAAAGTTTTCTACTCTTTCTTGGTTAATTGTGGTAACTTAGATTTTTGCTAAGAAATCATCCATTTCTTCTAGGTTTTCAAGTTTATTGCCAGTGAGTTGCAGGCAGTATTTCTCACATTTCCTTCAAGCACTTTTGCATTCTTGGTTACTTCTTCTTCTTCTTCTTTTTTTTTTTTTTTTTTTTTGAAACAGAGTCTCACTCTGTCACCCAGGCTGGAGTGTAGTGGCGTGATCTCAGCTCACTGCAACCTCCGCCTCCTGGGTTCAAGTGATTCTCCTGCCTCAGCCTCCCGAGTAGCTGGGATTACAGGTACGTGCCACCACACCAGCTAATTTTTGTATTTTTAGTAGAGATGTGGTTTCACCATGTTGGCCAGGATGGTCTCGATCTTCTGACCTTAAGTGATCTGCCCATCTCGGCCTCCCAAAGTGCTGGGATTAGAGGCGTGAGCCGTGGTGCCTAGCCTCCTTTCTTAATCTAATCTTGAATTTTTTCTCTTTTTCTCTTGACCTCCCTCTTTAATTCATTTTATTTCGAATATACCACTAATAAAACAGTATAAAAGATTTGGGAGAAAGAGAATAGAAGGACAGATAACAGCAGACAAGAAATGGCATGGAACAAGAAAAGGGCACTGGCTATGGTATATGGGCTGCCCCCCCATCCGATTACTGTGAATGTTCAAGAAAAGAAGATGGCACTGGTGGTTGTCAGCTGGTGTCAGTCTCAGCCTGGGCATCACAGGGCTGACTGATATTTGCAGATCTACCAGGATCCAAGATCTTCTCAACTTTTAACATTCTTTTTTGTTTTTTTTTTTGAGATGGAGTTTCACTCTTGTCACCCAAGCTGGAGTGCAATGGTGTGATCTCCGCTCACTGCAACCTCCACCTCCTGGGTTCAAGCCATTATCCTGCCTCAGCCTCCCAAGTAGCTGAGATTACAGGTGCCCATCACCACACCTGGCTAATTTTTGTATTTTTAGTAGAGACTGGGCTTTACCATGTTGGCCAGGCTGGTCTTGAACTCCTGACCTCAGGTGATCCGCCCACCTGGGCCTCCCAAAGTACTGGGATTATGGGCATGAGCTACTGCGCCCGGTTCAAATTTTAACACTCTTAAATTCAATTCTGTTGGTGTTACCAGACTTGGACCAGGCCAGGGAGCAACTCTCATTAACGATATCCACAAAAATAACTGATGTAAAAACTAGAATACCAATTTAAAATTCCCTACCAAACGGATAAGCGTATACCCATGAGTCCAGAACAAAACATTTCTTTACTTTGTGAGCAAATGGTTCTGTTTCTTTGGGAATCCTCTTGGAGATGCATCTGTAAGGAAATGAGGAAGGCTGGGTTTGGCAGAGGGAGAAGCTGGACTGCAAAGAAGTTGCAGCTGAGACCTTCTGTCATGCTCCTGGGGCAAGCTCTGGAGCTAGATAGAATGACCCTTTAGAGTTGAGTTGAGGCAATGGAGTTGGGCTTTTGAATCTCTACATCAGTCATTGGTTTGGGATGCCCCTTGAAGCAGTGGTAACCCTGGCTGAGGTGGGTCCCTGCAGCTGAGACTGGTCCCTGTGGCCGAGACTGGTCCCTGTCGCCTGGGGTCATGCCAGTGCAGGGTGTAGCTGTGTGCCCTCAGCAACCCTTGTTCCCTGCAGATGAGGGACAGGTGGGTTGGCCTGAAGAGAATATCTGGAGAGAACATCATAGTCCTCACTGTGGTGGTTGTAACATATTGGTTGTAAGGTGCATCCTGAATTCAGAAACATTGAAATGTAAAAAAAAAGAGAGCACCTTAAAAATGCCAAAATATGGTAGTAGGCTTCAGTGGTATTTTTTGGGACAGGGATACAAGCCAGACTCTAGGAAGAACCAGAGTAGAGAATTGGAGATCTGGGGGTGGGGGAGCAGGGATTATTCTTCACGGTTTACTCTTCATGTGTCTTCTTGCAACTCTATTTCACTCTTTTTTCTTGATATTCCAAGTTTCTTTGCTAAACAATTTTCTGGTAATCATCCAACATGGGAGGTGGATCATGGTCAGTGCTGTGCTGGAAATATTTAAAATATCGCCTCTTGGGGGAAAAAAAGGTGTGCACATATATTCATATAATTTTTACTGACATAAAGCATGCAGAGGACACAATTTATAAATAATAATAAACTGTACAATAATCTTTATTGTAAATTCCATATAGCCCATTGATTCTCCCAGAATGCTTTCATTGATTTTTGCAACACTCCAGCATTCCTAGCCAACCTATGGCTATAATTGATGAACATGTCCAGCTCTGTCTGACATGAACGCTGGCTGATATTTTGGCTTCAATCAATGAATAAGACAAAAGTGAACAACGAAGATGTATGTCAGAACTTCACTTGTTTGTCAATGACAGGAGAGACTCAATTGAATCAGATGATAGTTTTCAAATACTAGAAGACTATTTCCTCAATTTTTTTGTCCTATTTACTAAGTAATGGTTACAGACACAACACTTTTACATTTAATTTTTCTTTGGGAGGCCAAGGCTGACAGATCACTTGAGGCAAGGAATTCAACACCAGCCTGGCCAACATGGTGAAACCCCATCTCTACTAAAAATACAAAAATTAGCTGGGTGTGGTGGCGCATGCCTGCAGTCCCATCTACTCGGGAGGCTGAGGCAGGAGAATCGCTTGAGCCCAGGAGGTGGAGGTTGCAGTGAGCCGAGATTGTGCCACTGCACTGTAGCCTGGGTGACAGAGGGAAACTCTGTTTCAATAAATACATAAATAAATTTAATTTTTATCAGTGGTTCTCCACTAGAGAGAGATTTGGTTTCTCAAAGGACATTTGGCGATCCAGAGATTTTTTTTTTTTGGTTGTCACAACTAGGGAAGGGATGTGATTGGTGTCTAATGACATGAGGCCAGAAGCATCCCTCAGTAAGGAACTACGGGGCCCAAGGCTGAAAAACCCTGATCTGTATTGTGAACATTTTCTCCATAAACTTTAAAGTTTAGACACCCAACAAAACAATAGATCAACAGTTTGCCAATTTCTGTGGTGTAAATACTCCCAGTGTGATGGTTAACTTTCTGTGTCAACTTGACGGGCCTAAGGGATGCCCACCCAGATCCCCGGTAAAACATTATTTCTGGGTGTGTTTGCGAACATGTTTCTGGAAGATATTAGCATTTGAGTTGGTGGACTGAGTAATGCGTGGGCATCATCCAATTTGTTGAGGGCCAGGAGAGAAGAAGAAGGGTGGATTCTATCTCTCTTTTATTTATTTATTAATTTTATTTTTTGTAGAGATGGGGTCTTGCTATGTTGCCCAGGCTGGTCTTGAACACCTGGCCTCAACTGAGCCTCGGCCTCCCAAAATGTTGGGATTACAGGCATGAGCCACCATGCCTGGCCTGTCTCTCTCTTCTTGAGCTGGACATCGCCTTTTACTCCCCTTGGACATCAGAATTCCTGGTTCTTGGGCCTTCAGACTCTGGGACTTATGCTAGCCCAGCCAGCTCAACCTCCCACCTTCCTATTCTCAGGCCCCCAGACTCCAACTGAATTATGCCCCTGGCTTTCCAGGTTCTTCAGCTTGCAGAAGGCAGGATTGTGGGACTTCACAGCTTCCATAATTGCGTGAGCCAATTCCCATAATAAATCTCTTCTGATAAATACCTATATATCCTAGCGGCTCTGTTTCTCTGGAGAACCCTGACTAATACAGTCACTGTGGTTGATTTCCAGTTGCCAAGGTGGGGTCCTCAAGCCTGGAACTGGTAAGAGGTCTGCAGGAGCCACCATTTTATAGTATTTCCACCACAAAGATACAACAGTCATAAATAACTCCAAGAGCATAAGAGTAAAAATGTAGTAAAATAAGAATTAGGTTCTGTGTATTTATTAACTTCGTTTATAATATGATTTATTTGATTACAAGTAAACTCATTTGATTTTTAATAATTGCTAAGTTTGACAACTGACACAAAATTCTCAAAAATGTAACAATTGGCTCTTGTGGGACGGTATGCACCAGCCTGGCTGAAGTGGCTATCACTCTGGAATTCACATTTTATATATCCTGAGTCTTGGAAGGATCCACTCCATTCCAGTTTTAGTTTTCTAGGGAAGGGACTCTGATTGTCCCAGATTGGAGAAGTCATTCTCTGTGGTCTAACCCTACAAAGCAGTTTTGTAAAGGTGGCTGGATCTGGAGGGAGCCTGCTCCCTTGCCATTAGGAAATTCCCAGAAGCAGCATTACTGGGAGTGGACGGGTGCCCTTTGAGGTGCCTGTGACCGTGCTGCAGACACCACCGACCAGCCTTCCCGCTCTGCTCCAATTCTGAAGACTTGTGCAGACTGCATTTCAGACTGCAAATGCACTTTTTCCCCCGCAGGAGATGACAAAATAATATATTAGGTCGGCAGTTCTCAAAATGAGGTCCCTGGATCAACAGCATCCATCTCCCTTGGGAGTTTGTTCAAAAAGCAAAATCTTGGGTCCCACCCCAAGCCTATGGAAAGACAATTTCTGGGGTTGGGGACCAGCCGTCTGTGTTTCAAAAAGTCCTCCAGGTTATCCTGAAGCATGTTAAGGATTGAGAGCCACTGTATTGAATCATAGAGCTTTTCTTTGCTGTTTAAGTTACATTCCATCTTTTAGGGCAGCCACAAAACAAATCCAGGTGATCCTGATTCAATTTGGCATTTCCCTCCAGTCTCCAGAAATGACAAATAATTTCCTAGGATGAGTTACCTCTACAGAGGAATATCTCATCAATCCTGTACTGATTTTTACCCTTTTTTCTTTTAGAAGATGACTGATTTTTAATTTCTGAAATTATAGCCACATATACACTATTAAATCTTACAAAATTTAACTTTTTAAGGTCTATTTCTTGATTCCCCAACTAACTGGCTATCTCTTTGTGGGCAGGGTCTATGTTTTGGTTTAGGTCACAGAAGCTAATGTAGTATAGAGCTCATATATAAGATATTTAAATATTAGATTGAATAACTATGGAAATTTAAAAAATTCTTTATCTAATTCTTTGCTTTCTTTTATACTCTTCAAAATTTATCATATACAATGTCTAAAATAGACATGCTAGAAAATTTATAAATAGTCTAAATAATAATTAAACAGAAAAAGACTGATACCTGAATTTTCCCCCCATATTATGAGATTTGTACCAAATTGTGGTAAAAAGCAGAAAATAAGAATCCCCAATTGTTCTACTGTCCAGATAAAAACTTGATATTTTGGTATGTTTCCTTCCAATCAATGTTTTATTACGTCTATATGTTTTTGTTAAGAAGCATATGTCTATGTTTTTGTTAAAAAGCAGAGACTATATGCTATAAAGTTTCATTATGCTACTTTTGGACCGAACATTGTATCATGAGCATTCCCATACCATTGAATTTTTAAAAACATGGTTTTTAATGATGCCATGTTATTTGGTTGTGTGTATAAACTATATTTTATTTAACTATTCCTCCATTTAGAACACTTGGGTTGTTTCCAATTTTTCATTTTTATCTCTCATTTATTTATTTTTGTTTTAGAGACAGTGTCTTACTCTGCCACTCAGGCTGGAGTGCAGTGGTGCGATCAATGCTCACTGCAGCCTTGAACTCCTGGGTTCAAGTGATCTTCCTGCCTTGGCTTCCCAAAGTGCTGGGATTACAAGTGTGAGCCTCTGTACCCAGTCCCAATATTTCACTTTTTAAATAATGATTGTGATGAAATGGGATGCATGTTTTTTTAAATGAATATGGTCTCTCTTAGGGTCACGGCGATTTGTTCTTTTAAGTGTTTCTTTTCTTTTCTTTTTTTTTTTTTTTTTTTTTTTTGAGACAGAGTCTTGCCCTGTCACCCAGGCTGGAGTGCAGTGGCGCGATCTTGGCTCACTGCAACCTCCGCCTCCCGGGTTAAAGCGATTCTCCTGCCTCAGCCTCCTGAATAGCTGGGACTACAGGTGTGTGCCACCAAGCCCGGCTATTTTTGTAGTAGAGACAGGGTTTCACCATGTTGGCCAGGCTGGTCTCAAACTCCTGACCTCAGCTGATCCGCCTGCCTTGGCCTCCCAAAGTGCTCGGATTGTAGGCGTGAGCCACTGTGCCCGGCCTCTTTTAAGTATTTCTAAAAGCTCCTGGATATCTTTTTTCCTTCCTTTTGAATGGAAAAGCTTGCTTGTCAGTTGCTTGTTCAAGTATTTCTCTCTATCACTCTTTGATCTCAGGCCTTAATCAGGATTCAGTGCACATGTTTACATAAACGTAGAAATCAATGAAAGTCTAAAATGTAAGGGGAGGCTGTTAACTGTAGCTAGTAACTTCTCTGGTTTACACTGACAGTTTCCCAGGTAGCCAGCCGTTGTGTTCTCTGTAAACTTCCATTGCTGTTACTGTCATCTGTCTTAACCCTTCAGGTTTTTTTTGTGTCTAACAATCCCTAATCCCTAAATCAGGAAAATGCTAATAAATTATTATTTGCTCATTGATTAGTGAGGGAAACCCATATTCATGCAAGAGTGTTGCCATATTTAGTTCAAGGACATTTTCCTGTGTTGGCTTATTTCTGGCAAAAGTCAGGTATATTTTATTTTATTTTGTTTTGTTTTTGAGACAAAGTCTTGCTCTATCACCCAGGCTGGACTGCAGTGGCATGATCCCGGCTCACTGCAACCTCCATCTCCCGGATTCAAGCAATTCTCCTGTCTCAGCCTCCTGAGTAGCTAGGACTATAGGCACCTGCCACCACGCCTGGCTAATTTTTGTATTTTTAGTAGAGACGGGATTTCACCATGCTGGCCAGGCTGGTCTTGAACTCCTGACCTCAGGTGATCTGTCCACCTCGGCCTCCCAAAGTTCTGGGATTACAGGGGTGAGCCACCCCGTCTGGCCTCAGATATCTTTTAGATGAAGTATCACCCCCCACAAAAGACTTTCTAAATTGAAATAATTCAATTGTTCATTTTTTTGTTTTGTAAAGCATTTTACCCATTATCAGCTGACTCAACAAAATGATATTTCTTACCTTTTTTGAGTAAGAAAAACGAAATGTCAAATATTGTTCAATTATGATTTCACAAAAACAATTTTTAAACGTGCTTCAATGACATGAAAAAAATAAGTCCACTGTAAACAAATGTTAGGGACTTAAAAAATCTCTGACATAATTTTTCTCTTCAATTTAACTTTTTTTCCCTTGGGTTGGATTTAAAAAAAAAAAAGGAATTTCTGATTACATCTCCAATCATGTCACTGAAAAATCTTGATTGCTGAACACATGACCAAAAAATGATTAGTTAGCTTGAGGTAAATGTTCAATTATCACCAAGATTGGTAAGCAATCTAAAACAGAGGGAGTGAAGATAAATTGACTTCCAAACTGCTTTAAATGGTTGTAGTCGTTTAAGTTCACAGGAAATTTAACAGGCTAGTAATGAACAGACAGCCCTTTCACTCTATTGTTACAAGTTAGTATTATTGTTTAGATTTTTCTCATCCTTTTGCAAATTTTGCAAGCAAGTAACTTCAGAAACCCTAATGTAAATTTCCAGTTAATAAAGATCTTGATTTAACTGGCATTATTGAGGTGTTCTTCGAGAGGCTTTTGGAACTCAACTAGCAGGTGCAGAGAGTACTACAAAGACCCGGGTTTCCGTCCACGTTCACGTAAACCTCCCTACGAGGGGAAACTACAGGCGCGCTGCCGGAGGGCGCCGCCAGTGGGCACTCACGCACAGCTGCTTTGGCCACCACAGGCGCCCCGGGCCACTCTCTTCCCTCATCTCTCTCATCCCAGCTTCCGCCGGAAGCGGCTCCTGTCAGTTGTTCTCAGGTGTTTGGGCTTGTTGTTCCGTATACTCAGTGGGTTCGCGGCCGCCGGCCCAGTGAGGCTGGGTTCGAGGAGCTGGAGCGGGAAACTGGAGCTTAAATTCTGGCGGCGAGATGGACATTCTGAAATCAGAGATCCTTCGGAAGCGGCAGCTGGTGGAGGACAGGAACCTGCTGGTGGTGAGGACCCTGCGGTCGTGGGGGTCGGGATGTAAGAGTGAGAGTATGTGTGTCGGGGTTTTGGGGTGAGGGTGACGATACTCAGAGGATTCGGGGCGGGGACGGGGCTTAGCGAGTGTCCTGCCACTACCCCTGGTAGGCCCCCTTAGATCCAACCCTTGGCGTCTCACTGTTGAGGCTGGAGAATAGGGTCTGAGAGCAGGGAACTTGAGTACAATTCGTGCTGACTTCCCAAAGCTGGATCAAAAGGAAAACACCTGGGTCTGGGGGCGGGAACCTGAGGCCAATTAACGCCCACGTCCAAAAGCCAAACCAAAAGAAAAATCCTCATCTTCCCACCACCGAGTAGCAAAGGCTTCAGGCTGCGGCTCTCCCCGCATCCCTGCCTTTCCACCACCTCTCAGATGGGAAGGGAACGTGCCCTGCATTGGCCGTGGGCCAATCACGGGCCATCCCTTCATCTGCATAGGGCGCCAGTTCACCTCAGTCTTTAGCCACAGACCGAACCCTTCATCCAGATACGGGGTAGCTGATAGGGACCTCAGAAGGAGTACCTAAAACCCGGAAAACTTTGTAACCGGGGCCTCGAGCCGCTTGCTCGGGCCCACTCACACCCTGTGGAGTGCTTTCTCGCGTTCATAAGTCCCTACTTTTGCTGCTTCATTCCTGTGTTTTGTTACTTTTTTTGTGCGTTTTGTCCAATTCTTTGTTCAAAACGCCAAGGACCCGGGCAACTTACACTCACGGCCTTCTTTCCGGTAACCACTTGGGAGCCTTAGGGATGCAGGTGTGGGAATTGCAGGAAAACCCGAGGCTTTGTTTGTTTTCCCCCGACTGACCCTGTTTCCCTCCAGTTTACCTAACTGCCCCCTATCCCCGCTCCTACCTGTTGGCATTCTGCGGACGTGCCCCAGTGCTCCTGAGAGTTCCCTTCTGTCGCCTTACGAAGGGTTTGTGCCCAACTGAAACATGGAGGAAGGGCCGCCGGGCGCGGTGGCTCACACCTGTAATCCCCACACTTTGGTGGGCAGATCACCTGAGGTCAGGAGTTCGAGACCAGCCTGGCAAACATGGTGAAACCCCGTCTCTACTAAAAACACCAAAATTAGCTGGGCGTGGTGGTGCGCGCCTGTAATCCCAGCTACTCAGGAGGCTGAGGCCAGAGAATCACTTGAACCCGGGAGGCGGAGGTTGCCGTGAGCCGACATCGCACCACTGCACTCCTGCCTGGGCGACAGAGTGAGACACCGTCTCAAAAAAAAAAAAAAATTCCTTCTAGCCAGGTGTGGTGGTGCGCGCGTCTAGTCCCGGCTGCTTGGGAGACCAAGGCGGGAGGATCGCTTGAGCCCAGGAGTTCAGGCTGCAGTGAGCTATCATCGTGCCACTGCACTCCAGCCTGGGTGAGAGACCGAGTCCCTGTCTCTAAAAAAAAAAAAAAAAAAGTAATAAAATTCCTTTCTAATAGTAAATCCCAATTTTTTAAATTCTATTCCTCCTCCTTCTCTCTTCTTCAACACATGAAAAGTCTGTAGGCCTGCTCTTCACTGATGGGAATGCTAAGACTCTTTTGGAAAGGTACTAAAAAGGGGGAGAAAGAATTACATGATTTAGGAACTTCCTGAAGATGATCTCCCTTACTTTATTGTGTAGCAGTAACTTAGACCGCTGGTTCTCAAAGCTTTTGGTCTCAGGACCCCTTCACACTCTTAAAAGTTACTGAAGATCTTGAAGGACTTTTGTTTATGTGTTATTTCTATCCGTATTTACCATATTAGAAGTTAAAACTGAGAAACGTTAAAAATACTCACTGATCGATCATTTGGAAAACATTGGGTTACTGAATTATGCAGGTCTCCCACCTGTTGACACATTTCATTACAAAATATGAAAAGATCACTTCATTTAATATCCACTGATCTGAGAAACATCTGTAAGCATTAGGAAACTGTCAGGCTCCTGATGACAGATCTAAGTTCACCACACTTAATTTCCACTTGGAAGCTGGAATTTTATCATAGGCAACAAATATTATCAGTTATTTTCTTGAAGTGATCTGCTCACTTTGTTCAGTTTGGGGAAGTTGTCTGCCAAATACCCAAGTCTGAAGAACCATGGTTTGCCGGGTGTTCTTAAGTGTAAAAATGGTATTCCGTGAAAAAGCCAGTTTAGCTTGCAACTCAATTACTTTCCTCCACACAACCAGCAAACTTTAGTATAAATGAGAATTGTTGTATGCATCTTTCCTGTTTTGTCACATAATATTAAAAAGATATGGCCAAAGATCAAGACTTAATAAAAATAGTAATTTTACTCCTTTATCATAAGGAGTAAATTTGTTTAGAGAAACTGGCTCCCTCTGGCTGCAGTGGCAGTTTAGAGTCACTGCCTTGGTTCTTGCTAAGGCTTTAGCAAATTTACCATTGCTTTTCACCTACAGTGCAGATGTCATCAGAGTGAGCAGGCAGATAATGCCTTACTGTAGAAAACACTTTTGACCTCATGAGTCCTCTCAGAGGGTCTACAGGACCCATGGAAATCCGTGCATCACAGAATATCTGACTTAGATATTTGGATGTTGTGTACGATTGATGTATGTGATGTAGTGTAAGTAAGTTAGAGTTCTTAGCTTGGTAAATGGCAAATTTCATGATCATTGAAACTTTAAAAACAATTAGAAAAGTGGAGGTAATAGAATGCTGTTTGGTAGGTATGGGGAAAAGCTTGTTCATATTTGTAAATGTTTTTATGTCTACTGCAGGGACCTTTTGATGAGTGGTTGGGAGTATTTTAAATTTAGGTGTTGGAGTGCATAGTGGATGTTAGGAAGGGCCAGGGTGTTGAAATCTAAGTGCTTTAAAGGGAAAAGTGAATCACAAAATATTCAGCCCACCCTCAAGGTTCACAACATGAATATTTGCATAATCATGTTCTTCGTCATTGAAATGCACCAATCTACAAAAATGATCATTAAAAAAAAAACTTTAGATTCTTCAGGGTCATTTATAATTTATAATATATAAACTTTTCCTGGGTGTCTTTCATTTTTTAATTTGGTAGTTGATTGAATTATCACATAATTCCAGCCAGAAGATAAGATTGATTTTTTCAATCACAGAGCAGTTCAGACCAACAAAGGGCGTACATGAAATGGGAATTAAAATACTGACATTCGGCCGGGCGCGGTGGCTCACGCCTGTAATCCCAGCACTTTGGGAGCCTGGGGTGGGCAGATCACGAGATTGAGACCATCCTGGCTAACACGGTGAAACCCCATCTCTACTGAAAATACAAAAAAAAAAAATATATATATATATATATATTAGCTGGGCATGGTGGCAGGTGCCTGTAGTCCCAGCTACTCAGGAGGCTGAGGCAGGAGAATGGCGTGAACCCGGGAGGCGGGGCTTGCAGTGAGCTGATATTGTGCCACTGCACTGCAGCCTGGGCGACAGAGCGAGACTCCATCTCAAAAAAAAAAAAAAAAAATACTGACATTCATAGTTTATATTAGCAGTAATGTTAGGCATCATGCAATATGTGTTTTCTAACTTGTACAACAAGTTGCCATTGTTCCCATTTACAGATGAGGAAACTGGAAGCTAAGAGAAGTTACATGACTATAGGATTATGCAGCTAGCAAGAGATAGAGCCTGGATTTGAACCCTGGTCTGTTCCTACTTCAGAGCCTGATCTGTTAACCTGTACAGATAGAATGGATATTTATTCACCTTACAAACATAGAACTAGTTTTGATAGGGCTAATGTAACAAAGCACTGGAAAATTATTAGACTAACATGATTTATATTTTTCAAAGTGCTATATGCTATCTGATTTGAGCTTTACAACGGTTAATTAGTGCACAAGGCAATGCTGTTTTCATGGATGATGAAATTGAGGCTTAGAGGGTTACACGATGTTCTCATATTCCTGTGGCCAGCCGGGATAGATCTCAAGTCTTAGACCAACTTGAGGGTGAGTGCTCTTGCATGATGTAAGGGAACATACACAACTAGGCGTCTTTTCTGTTGTATCCATGGGAAGACAGTCTTTAGATCTGCAGCTCTATCATTTCATGCAGAATAGTTGCTTTATATTTTTCATCTTTCTGCATCACAGTGTCTGTCAGTAACTTACAGACTTTTTCACTGCCCCGTTCATAGCAATACATTTTTATATATTGATCTGATATGTATGTGAAAAAAGTTTTATGAAATAATTCTTACAACCACAAATGATTTTATCATGTTTTATTCAGTCCTCCTTTTTTGTTATCAGTTATTTAATTAGGTTCTTCTTAAGAAATGTAGAACACCAATTTGTGAGGATAAATTCCATGAGTCGGGGCAAACACAGATCGCAGGTAGTCCTGGAGCTTAGGAATAGCTTTGATTTTTGGTAAAATTTGTGACTCCACAGCTTTCTGATCAATCTTGTGCTGCTCTGTAATCTTGTATTTATCTTTTTCTGTGCTGAAGATCTCAGCTTCCTGGTGTCTGGGCTTCTGCAGCTGCTGCTGCTTGAATAAGCATCAGTGGGATGTTTTGGGATTTTTACATCGCTGATAACAATTTTGGTTGAGGTGGCAATGACAGATTTCTGGTGTTTTCTTCATAGAGGAACTCGATTGAGGACCAGAGGTCCAGTCACAAGTAACAAGCCACTAGCCAGGTGCTTCAGGAAGACCGCCCTCTTGCCTCTGTGGAATCCAGTGAGGATGATCAGAACGTTCCCCGGGGTAATGCTGGTTCGCAGTTTTCTCACGTGTCAACTGAGGGTTTTTTTTTTTTTTTGCCATGGCTCAACAGCTTTTGAGGCACATCTTCAGTAGGAAAATATCTAGGCATTTTATGAAGTTTAACCACCTGGGTACTACCATTCTTGTCACCACCAACTGGTTTTGTAACAGTTGCAAGAACCTTCTTTTTCTTTTCAACCTCGTACTTAGCGGCTGAGTACTTCCTCTTATACACAGCTTTTCTGGAATACATAGCACATCGGGAATACCTGCCAATTCCTCTGACAAGGACAGGGTTGTGCTGCAATGGGGCTTCCCCTTCTTGGGCTTCTTAGCCTTGAGGTGACCCTTTTTCACCTTGTCACCAGCCTCAGCCTTCTTGGCTTTGGGTTTCTTCTCTTTAGTATCCGGCTTCTCAACTTTTTCACCCACCATCTTACAAGATGGGGAAGAGCAAGTCCCTTTGTTTTAATTTTTTAGAAAACACGGGTCAGGGATCAGTAGATTGTTGTCATTACCGCATCTGTAGCTGGAAAACAGTTGTCTGTGTGGTGTTGCTCTTGCAGAAAGAAGAGCCACCTCATCTTTGGTCATTTCAAGTGGTGTCCCAGCTTTTTGTGGTTAATCTGTGATAGTTGAAATAATCAGTACTTAGCTTGTGAGTGCCTCTTTCTCAAATTGCAGAGAAGTGACTAAGATATCCTCTTACCACCTGTCCTAAAGTGCCCTGCCTGGTGTAACCACCCTGAGGTAAATGTGTCTGCATTGCTAGAACACCAGTGTTTTGGAGCCTAGAATTGGTGAGTTTTCATTTAATGCAAAACCTCGTGTGGAAAACCAGGCTGCTCTAGAAACTCAATGGGGAGTAATTAGTAGTTTTACTAGTTGTAGTTATGAGGATGAGCTATGTGCAGAATTTTAGCTTTTTTTCCTTCCAGTATTTACTGCATCTTTCCTATATGCAAGATACTATGCTGTGCTGCAGTAACAATGCTACAATAATCAAAACAGCATAGCGCTGGCATAAAGAGCAACAGCTAACACCACTAGAGTATAACAGAGCACCCAGAACGGAGCCACCCTTACACAATTATTGATTTTTGACAAATACACTAAAACCAAATGGAAGGAAAGATATTTTCAGTAAATGATGCTGAACAACTGGATATCCATACGGAAATAATAAGCAACAACCCCTACCCCACATTATACAAAACATTCTGAAATGAAGGACCAATGGAAGGAATGGCAGGAACCAACATGGGAGACATTGGAAAATAAAATTAGTAAGGAAAACTGTATACTAGTTCTAATACATTGGAAAATCTAAGTGAAGTAAATGGCTAAAAAGTACAAAAAAATACAAGAAATAGAAAATCTAAGCAAACCAGTAAGTGAGGAAGACATAAGAAGAATCTGTCAGCTAAGAGGAGAAAGTTACTGAAGGAAGGAAGGAATGAGCAGTTAAATCGAAGACTGGATGAGATCAGTCAGAGAAGTCTCTTTGGATTTGTATCTTAGACATTATTTATGACCCCAAGGAGGTTTTTTCAGTGAAACAGAATGGATGTCCACATGCTGTGGGGCTGCAAAGAGAATTGGGGGTAAGGAAGTGGACACGGATTAGATTAAACAGTTTAATGTGGTTCTGCTGTAAATGATACCCAGGGCAGAGTCTTGAGCATACTTAAATTATAATTGTCAAGAGCCAGTAGAGAGGGGAAGGATGAATATGCGAAGGAGAAAACAGCATTGATGGTGAGAAGTCCCTGAGGAATTGAGGTCTGGAGTAATTGGCAAGGGATTTGCCCTAGACAGACAGAGGAGGGTTCTCTGTTTCACTGTGAAATGAAAGGACCAATGAAGATCCAGCTCATGACTGGAGTTGGGAGGAATTTGGAGGAGTTCCTGACTGGTTGCTTCCATAAAATGAGATGGTTTAGTCATCTGCTGAAAATGAGGGGAGAATGAAAGGATGGGAAATTCGTGAGAATGGAGACAGTGGAATGGTCAGTGTAGACAATAGGAAAGAAAATGAAATGGGTAAATACCCCAGGACCAATAGGCAATGTTGAGGCCCCAGTGGTTTTTGCCAGCATTGTTTTGCGCATGCTATAGGCATGGAGAACGCCAAGTGGACTTAAACTTACTGGTCTCAGGTCTCATTCTCAATTATTGATAGACCCAGAGAGCTTTTATTTACATAGGACACATTTATTGATAATTACCGTATTAGAAATTAAAGCCAGGAAATTACAAAATGTATATTCCATGTAGAAATGCAATAATAAACCCATAGTATGCTAACAGATATTTTTATGAAAAGACTATATTTGCGAAAACAAACACTTCAGTGAGAAAAGTGACATTGTTTTAGAAACCTCTGGCATAGTAGTTGGATTCTATTTCTCTCTCCAGTCTGTTGCTGTATGTTGTTTTCAAGTACACGAAGAAAATTCATCCACAGATAAGTAGTTAGAAAAAGGAGTATCTTAATAGCCTTTTCAGATAATTGTGGATATTCTTCTTGATACTACACCAAAACTAGACAATTGGTTTCTTAAAGATCAGTTGCAATGTGGATTCTGAAATCATTTCAATGAACTTTTCATACATTAAAGCCTGTTCTATTTTGCTCTTTGAATGGATCTTTTTACCTAGATGTGATTTTGTAACATCTTGATTTTGTAATGTCATGGTTCAGTGAATTATGCAGATCTTCTTAATGTTGACATTTTTGATTAGATAATATTAAAAAATCTCATTAATATCACCACTGATTTCATTGGAAAAGGCTTCAAGTATTGGGAAGCTATTAAGCTCCTGGTGGTGGGTACAAGTTTTCCACTTTTCCAGTTCTCACTTGACAGCTGGAATTTTATCATCGGTGGTAAATACTATCATTGTTTTCTTTTAGCTTTAAGCTTGTTTTGTTCAGTTCTGAGAAAATGTCTACCAAACACCCAAATCTGACTAATCAAACAATTGCACAAGTGCTTTTCTTTGAGGAAACCATTCTACTTTAGTATGTAACAAAAGTGCTTTATACATTTTATTTTTTCATGCTGATTATTAAAAGGCTGTGTACTCAAAGGTTGAGATTTAGGAAAATTATGCTAATTATACTTCGTCAAGGACATTCTTAAGAGAAACTAGACTTTTTATTTTTTTGTAAGTGCATGTTGGTGAAGAATACAGTTTGAAGGCCTTGCCTTTATTTTTGCTGATGCCAGTAGTCCCCCTTCCCAAATCCTCCCCCCATGTTGCTTTTGGACTGTCAGTGCAAATCTGAGCACAATGAAAACGGGGCACATAATGTCTTAGTATATCATGAAAATAAATTTGACCTTGCAAAACCTCTGAAAGAGCCTCTGTGGACCACATTTTGAGATGTTCTAGGCTTGAGATTTTGTTAGGTGTGTTCAATGGAATTGAGACATGGTCATCAAAGATAACATAGTTAAAAAGATTGGACCATGGCCTCCGGCCTGGAGAGTGTTTTTTCCTTTCTTTCTACACAGCCCTTTCTGAGAGGATACCAATGTGTGTTTGCCAACTTATTTGAAATATGACAATTATATACTACCTAGTCAAAAACAATTTTAGATGCCGAAATAATATTTTGGGAGTGAAGAACTGTAGCTTGGAAGACTAGATCAGAACAAAGGGTTTAAGGACCAGAGTTCTAGTTGCTACTCATCATTCTTCCTGAGTTCTGGGAATGTCACCTAACCTAATTCTCAGCGTTCTCATCTCTAAAAAGGGGTTAATACTATTTGCCCCCACCGTACTCAGGGTAGTTTTGATGTTCAGATGATACCATCGGTTCCTTACCCCAGATAACATCTTCATCTTTATTTCCGTAAAACTGTGCTTGTTGTGTGGTAGATAAGTCTGGAAATGTTTATTGAATTAAGGAATGAACTTTTAGAAAAACCTTATTCTGAAAGTTTTAAACATAATACAAAAATAGATAAAATTTTATGATGAGCCCCTGTATATCCTTCCCCTGAAACATGCAGCTCTAGAAAATGACATGTTCCTTTAAAACCAAAATATGATCACACCCAACAAAATTAAAATTAGTTTGTT
The DNA here is from genome assembly GCF_000001405.40 of Homo sapiens. Classification (NCBI taxonomy): domain Eukaryota; kingdom Metazoa; phylum Chordata; class Mammalia; order Primates; family Hominidae; genus Homo; species Homo sapiens. The sequence continues at coordinate 13,595,981 of NC_000010.11, forward strand.
AATTTTATCAGATACTCTTCTCACATTCGTATATTTTCCAACTGAATTAAAATATGTACATACATTTGCTTTTACAGTTGGTTTTTCAAGTCAGGTCAACACGAAGTTCAATCCTTGCATTTGCTTATTATGAATCTTGGTTTCTTTTAATGAAGAACGTTGTCATTTTCTCAACTTGGCTGATTTTTTCCATGCCATTGACTTGCTGGAGAAACTGGGGCTAGTTTTGTAAAATGTCTTTGATTTGTGTAATTGCTTCCTGGCATATTGACACTTAGTTAATTCCTCTCTTCCCTACATTTAACAAGGATACTTCGTAGACGATGGCTGGGTAATTCCTGTAGTATAACATAGGTGGTACATAATCTTTTACTGATGTCAAGCTTGATCATTGGGTTCAAATGGTGGCAGGCTCATCTTTCCATTGTCACCATTGGCCTTTTTCATAAGGTTTTAGCATCCATTGATGATCATTGTCTGAGTGAATGAGCTTTGGAACTATGAGGTGCTAAATACTTGTGTGGAGGTAGTACACAGGTAATATTATATCATTACTGTTAATACAGTCGGGGACAGTGTCTTTATTTGAACAAAGCCATCTTTGGAATAATATCCAAGAGGCAGAGCTGCGATGGCAACAAGCCTCCAAATTACGGACTGTAGATGTAACAATAAGGATAATTTTATGTATAATGTGGAAAGGACTGACATCTTTTTAGCCACAGACAAGATTTAGAGCTTGTCTCTTTACATCAAATCATATCACAACAAATACCTTGTGAGAGGATCATTTGAACCCAGGGAGTCGAAGTTGTGGCCTTGATTGTGCCACTCCACTCCAGCCCGCGTGACAGAGAGATACCCTGTCTCCAAAACAAACAGAAAACCAGAAAAACGCACAAAAAACCCCAAATATCCTTAAATCATTTTTTAAATAAAAGAGTTCACCAAGACCACCCTATATGTAGATTATTTTAAGAACTGATTGATATAATAAGGTTCCAGGTAACAAGAAAGAACTTACACTCCTGGAGTTCCCTTGTTATGTGGGATATCAAATGTAGGCTATATATGTCATAATTTTGTTTCTGTTAGGAAAAAATAATTGAGGTATACCATTTTATGTGTTTCATAATGAATCCATTTGAAGAAATTATCATTGAACTCAGACATTAAGAAGTGAAAACATTTGGAAAATATTCTTGGTCTCCTCTTTGCTGATGGACTTGCCTACTGATTGATACTGCAAGAAAAATACTTGAACTTACCACATATCGGTGCCCATAGTCGTAGTGGAGGGTTGTTGATGTGCTTGGGGAATCAATGTATTCATCTCTGGAACCAAAAAATATTTATTTTATCCAATTCTTGAAAAACTGAAGAGTGTTTCCAAAGTTTTCTAAAGGTATTTGTTGACTATGGGACATGAAATTTTGCTCAAGGATATATTATTGACATAATTTATTTTCTTTAATAGGAAAATAAAAAATATTTCAAGCGTAGTGAGCTCGCCAAAAAAGAAGAGGAAGCATATTTTGAAAGATGTGGCTACAAGGTATGAATGTCTGCTTTTATGTTAAATTGTACATTTCTGAGTTTAAATTTATACAGCTGTTGTTAAATGACAATCATTGATCTCTGTTCAATTTATCAATATACGTTAGCCTATAAATGAGAAGCCATCTGGAGAGGTATGAGTTTTTGTTTTTGCATTTTTAAAAAAATCTTGAATTCAGGAAAATACATGCATGACTTTTGGCTTGGAATGGTTTGGCTTTTTGTGGACGGCATGAAGTGGCTTGAGATCAAAGCTTGAATTTTTTTTTTTTTTTAATAAAGTCCTGAATCTGAGACTGCGTTATTTTCAGCTCCACCACCACTCCTCTCCCCCACCTCTCCCAATAAAACAGTCTATTTGGAAAGACTTCAAAACATTTATTCATCCAGCCACAGTAATATTAGTGGTGGTAATTTTCCTGCCTTCTCCGGAATATTTTAAGCCATCGATTTTATGTTTGCATTGTTAATACGTCCTTTTGGGTCCTAAGAACCTCTGCCTAAAGTATAAAGCCGTATATATTTATATGCCTTTGTTGTAATAAGGTATCACATTTCAAACACTGTTTAGTCTGTTGGATAGAAAATGTCATCTTGAAATATTTCTTAGAAACAAATGAGTTGTCTGGAAGGCTTTGCTTGTATATTTTAGAAGAAATTAGTTGATAATGTATTGTGGTTTTATTGGGAGGGGTTAAAGGGTATAAGGTGGAGAAGTTACGTTTAAATTATTTTAAAAGAAGACTATATCTAGCTTAATTTTTAACTCAAAGCTCAGAGGTTCTATTGGAATACTTTTGCCAAATCATAAACTTGTAATTAACCTTTTGCTTGTAAAATATCAATATAAGATAATACTTTTGTGCATGTAATGGGGAAAGTTCTGGAAATGGATTTATCCTGCATAGCATTTTTAGAAGGAAGCATGAGGAATGCACATGGTATGTATATGCATTTGGTTTGATTTTGTAGTGCTGGGAGAAGACAAGTATTAAAGAAAAATGTAGTTTTCAAAAGATACCAAGAAGTGACTTAAAAAAATTTTAAAATGTAATTATATTTCTGATGTTTTTAAAATATGGGAAAGTTTAAACTTGTATTTTGATTTTTTCCATAAAGATATTTGTTTTATTTGCTTAATTAGAAATGAAAATAAGTTTTATGTTAATAACCATTGAGTAGATAGATATTCAGAAAGGAACTCTCATTTTTGCCTTGCCCAGTGTTGTCTAACACACACTTGGTCTGGAATAAGAATCACTTACATAGGTTTACTCTGCTGGCTTGTGGCATTCCCAGATTCTTAAATTTGAACCTTTTCAACTATTTGATAAGGTAGGAAAGTAACTTAATATAGTGGCAGTTTTTGCTTTTGTTTAGTGTGTTTTTTTGTTTTTATAGAGGAAAGCCCTGAAGGAAAGTAATTACTGTAAAGATAATTGTTGATAACTTCGAGTCCAGCTCATGAAATGACTTAGATTTTTTCCCCAGAGCTATTAACTGCCATTATATAATTAAATGTGTTTTTAATCCTGAGATTTTTGGAGAAATATGTTTCCATGCTTAAAAAGTAAAGCACAGGTGTTTCTTTCTAAAGATTTTTAAAGATTTCCTTCTTGGTAGTAATGACATGGTATCCATTCCTTTTATTCTTTTGTAGAAATGAGTTAGCATTTTTTAAGGCTTGGTGCTGATTTGACCTGTGAAAATAGAAAGGCTTAGTTTGTTACCTTAATTTTACCTCAGTATCAATTAGTTACGGTAAACATAAACTTGAACTGTAAGCTATAGAATCATGAATTATGTAATTTTTACCATATAGCCTTTCTTAATGTGAGTTTCTTCCTTAATGTTGATCTTCTTTTATGTTCTTTTGATCTTACTCCTACTTTCAGCATTTTGGATTTATCTTATGGTCAGATGGGAAACCACGTTTCAGTATCTTTTTTATAGACTCCACAAAGGGGCTTGTAAATTGCTGAATTCAGTTTTCTTAAACTGAGACTTGAGCAACAGATTTGAGAAAATATGTGAAGAGATTGTTTTTCCTACAGGTTCATATGAACAAGAATGCCCACTGTTTTCCTGGGTGGCGTTAGTAGACAGGTGCTTTTTTCCTTGTGTTTCTGCAAGGTTGGTAGCTCAGTTTGGACCAACTCTTCGTAGCATTAGGAATTTTTCTGTATGTCCAACATGATTTTCTTACATTTGGAATAATACGTTTTGAAAAGCAGGATAGGAAAAGCTAGAGCTTGAAGTTTCTCAGGTTGCTGTTGGAAAGAAATTCTTTTATCTTCATTTTGAAGCCGAGCAAGAATCAAATAACCCTGCAAGACAATTTAAAGAGGAAGAGCAAGTTGCTGGTTTTTAAGGAAAAAGTACAGTCTTTAGAATCTGGGGAGAAAGAGAGTGCAAATTTCAGCCCTGTTAAATTTGGATTTTGGAAATCGTGGTAGTCGTGTCACTCTTTTATAGCAAGAATGCTGATTCCTCTGTGCATGCTCTGGACTTGTGATGCCCCTGACGTGAATACGTTTGACTCTCTTTTGTAAGCATGTACACTTATTGTGAGCTCTTTGCTCAGAGGAATATTAGAAAATCTTCAGTGTTGAAAACATGTTTAACTTCCATAGCTAAGGTAATGGAATGATAAATATCAACTATATTTTTAAAGCTGAATTTCATTTCTTTTGGCTATTAATATAGATACAGCCAAAAGAGGAGGACCAGAAACCATTAACTTCATCGAATCCAGTGTTAGAACTTGAACTGGCAGAGGAAAAATTACCTATGACGCTTTCTAGGCAAGAGGTAAGTTTATTTGTGATGGTTTCATGAGAATAAGATCTCCACGGTGTTTACATTTATCTCCAGCTTTTCCAATAAGTTAAACGTCATTATTTCCTGCGTAAAATGACTTATCTAAAAATGCTGTGCAGCTAGTTTTCTTCATGAAGTTCTAAATTACTCACTGCTTCTTTTCTTGGTATTATTATCTTAACTTTTTTTAGAGCTTATCCTTCTAAACTTTAAAAAATAAACATGAATATTCAAAAATAAGTATAATTAAATGCTCTTATGCTAAATATTTATACTTAAATTATTTTAATTATTATTTTGTAACATACTTCCCTTTCCCTTATTTAATAATACGTCTTTCCAGATTAAAATATGGAGATCTACATAATTTTGAATGAGTGTATAATTTCCCATTGCTTGTTTGCTCCATAATGTTTCTTTCTTTATTTATTTATTTTGAGACAGAGTCTCACTGTGTCGCCCAGGCTGGAATACAGTGGTGCAGTCTCAGTTCACTGCAATCTCTGCCTCCCGGGTTCAAGCGATTCTCCTGCCTCAGCCTCCTGAGTGGCTGGGATTACAGGCGTGTGCCACCACACCCAGCTAATTTTTTTTTGTATTTTTAGTAGAGATGGGGTTTCATCATGTTGGCCAGGCTGGTCTCAAACTCCTGACCTCAAGTGATCCACCTGTCTCGGCCTTCCAAAGTGCTGGGATTACAGGTGTGAGCCACCGCGCCTGGCCGCACCGTAATATTTAAAAAATCATTTATTGATGATCATTTAGATTGCTTATTATAAATAATACTAAGATGAACATCCTTATGTAGACATCATTGCATACATAATAATGTGTGATTATTTCCTTTGGAAACATTTCTAGAAGCATGATTTTTAGGGCAAAGACTACGTATATTTTTAAGACTTGATATATATTACCAGATAGCTGTGGAGGTATTAGCCATGTTGTGCCACTTTATACTCCTAGCTGTTGTGTTTATAGTGTTTGTCTATACCTTGATCAGTACCAACTATTATTTTACTTAAAAGAAATCATAAAATTTAAAGATAATCAAGTGATATAAAGAAATCAAATCAATACAAAAGGCTGTAAAACAAAAATGTCTTCCCTTTTTCTTATCTTCCGTTTCCTCCCACTCCCCCTGTGCCCCGATCAGTCCTCCTACCCAGTTCTTCACTTGTACAAGCGTCAGTGTGTATGTGTATACCTTTTTTCCCTTTCACACAAATGAGATGACATGCATTTGTGCCTTAGTCTTTTCACTTAAAAGTACATTTTGAAGGCCATTTTATGTTGGGGGGTGTGTGTGTATGAACATTTTTTACAGTAAACATGTGCTTTGGGCAGGTTATCTGGTCTGTTTCTCAATTTCCTTATGTCTGAATGAGGGTAACAATTGGGTCTACCTCAGGAGACTTTCATGATAAAATAAGGTAATGCATGAAGAGAACAGTCCTTAATAGTGAGCTACTCAACAAATTTAGGTATTGTTTTTAGTAGTAGTTCTGTAATTTATTAAAATTAGCTCTTTACTGATGGATAGATTACTTCCAGTTGTTTGCCCTTACATGCAGTGCTAAGGTGAACTTCCTTATACATATGTCTTGATATTCGTATGAGTTTATCAATAGGATAATTTCCTAGGAAAATAATTTCTGGTCAGAGTGTGTGTCTATGTAATTTTTGATTGTGTGGAATTGTCCTACAAAGAAGCTGTGCCAATTTACATTCCAACTGTAAGTATGTAAGACTTCCTAGCATTTCTGTCAACTCTTTATTTTAAAATGTTTCAGCCTTTGCCAATCTGAAAGCAGATTATTATTTTAAATTTTTGCCAAACTGATGGGTGAAATAGGTATCTTGTGTTAATGTGAAACTTTCTATTAGTGATTATTAGAATTGAACATGTTTTCACGTGTTCAGTGGTCGTTAATGTCTCTTGTTTTGTGGAATTGCCATTTTTATATTGTGAAATTTGTCTTTATTGATTTGCAGATCAACATATTTATATGTTAAGGGTGTTAACCTGTGTTCATAAGTGTGTATGTATCAGATGTACATAGTGTATATATATATTTGTCAGTGTATCATTTATTTTTTGCCATGCAGAAGTTTTACATTTTTATACGATGACATCAGTCTTTTTCATTATGTTTTTTTTTTTGTCTTGAGCATCATGCTTGGAAAGGTTTCCTCTGTTCCTAAGAGTTAAACAAAGATATATTAATTTTTTTCCACTACCTTTATGAACTCATTCTTTATATATAGAAAATGTAATTTTCTTTATATTTTAATTTTGTATCTCAAATGAGTATATATTAACTTCATAGTCAAAATACTTGAAATTTCACGTCACTTACATATTTTAGAATTCTGTTACTTTTCGATTTTTTGAGACAAAGTCTCACTGTGTCTCCCAGGCTGGAGTGCAGTGGCATGATGTAGGCTCACTGCAACCTCCGCCTCCCGGGTTCAAGAGTTTCTGAAGCCTAAGCCTCCCAAGTAGCTGGGACTGCAGGTATGCACCACCAGGCCTTGCTAATTTTTGTATTTTTAGTAGAAACGAGGTTTTGCCATGTTGGCCTGGCTGGTCTTGAATTCCTGATTCAGGTGATCTGCTCGCCTCGACCTCACAAAGTGCTGGGATTACCGGCGAGGGCCACTGCGCCTGGCCTAGAATTTACTTTATCTTTAAACATTGAAAAGCTTGAGTTAAAAGACGACGTAGTTTTAAGAAGTTGTTCTTTTTGTGAGATCCATCATTAGTAAACCATTGTTACTGATTAATAGTGGTACATCAGTTAAGTAGTAGACATGATATGGGGAAGAAGTTCCTGCCTTTGCTCAGCGAGCGTCTATTGAAATAGTAAAAGAGGACTCAGAGGCTTAAGTTCTTTCACTGATGTCCCTTTAGTCTCTGTGTCATTTTTTGGGGGAGGTGGTGGTGGTGGTGGTGGTGGTGGTATATTTCAGCTTCTTTATTTAAAAAATTAGAATAATAGAATTCTTGCACTAAAAGAAATTTCGAAGTCAGGTAGTTTATTACCTTGCCTTTAGACAGAACCACTGTTATATAATTCCAGGTAGATGAGAGTTAGCTATTTAAACTGATAACCAGAAAAATATTATGCACTCCTCACAACTTGGCCTAAGTTATAGCACCCAATCTTAAGCAGTGTTTTACAGTAATAACTAGCTCACATTCCCTTTCTTTTTTCTGTCGAGGTTGTTTTTGTCTTTGACTGACTGACTTAGGGTCATCTTTCATCTTTGAGTCCTCAGTAGTCTCTTCCTGTTCGACCTCTGTAGTTGTGGATAGGACTGAATGTAAGTCATAGAAATAAAGCGTCTAGATCAAAGGCTTATGTATTCTGTACTTCTCGCAAGTTGACATGTTTGTAGTATTATTATTTAGTTCTACATTACCACATGTTTATGACGGACATTGCATAAAAGGAAATTTTCAGGGGAATGGTGACTGACTCTAGAAACCATCATATGAAGATGAGGTGAAGGAATTTAGAATAGTGAGGCTGGAGAGAAGAATTACTAGAGATATCTTTAAAAATCCAATGAAAGTAGCTCTGATTTTGGAAAATCAGAATATTCTCTGTAGTTTCATAAAGTGGAACTGGGATAAATGGGTAGAAGTTTGGGGGAAGTAGATTTCAGTTTTGAGAAGCAAAACATCTCTGTCTAAACAATGGGATGGGATGTTTCACGAAGAAATGTGATTCCTGCCATTTGTCAGCCAGGGATCTGACAAGGGTGTTTGTGAGGTCATTTCTGCATTGATTGGAGATAGCACTAGATGACCTCTTAAATTTCTGTTTTAATCTCAAACTTCTGTTAATCCACTGGGAGCCCTCTCAATGGATTTTAGGTGTGATGCTATTTATGCTCCCAGGTAAAGCTCTTGGTGTTTCTCATTATTGCTTTATTTAAAAAATTTGGACTAGTATTTATTACGTTTTCTGTTTCTTTCTTCCTTTTTAAAATGACATACATAGCATGTATATAAAGTGTATGAACCATGTTAGGGCAATATATGTTTGTTACACATATATGAATAATTATAAAATAAATATTCATGTAACCATCACCCAAGTTTGGAAATAGATTTTCAGCATCTTAAAAGCTCTGCATATGCAGATTATAACTCCCTGTTTTCTGAGGGAGAAGTTTTTGGTTTCATGGTGGTATTACAATGCAGACTGTCCATTATGGTAATTATCAGCTGGCTTCAGATTTGATTTTCCTTCTCTCTATAAATGCTGTCATTCCCTCCCATCTTAGTGTTTTTCCTGTGTGTCCTGCCACACAGATTGGTCCTATCGAAGCAGTGAGCTAAACGACCTAAACTTTATGGTTACTTAAGGTGTGATGGTAACACAGTATATCTGTTTATGGAAAATTAAAAGAATAAACAGATTACTTTTTTCATCTACATTTCAAAACAAGTGTTTGATCACCAAAAATATGCTGACATAAGGGATTACTATTGTCTTTCCATTGTTTTTAAAAGAAGACTAAGAACAGTTATAATTATGTAAAATGAGGGCCACAGACATGCCCCTTTTCTTACAAAAAAGAATTTTTTAAAAATCTCACAGTAAAAGAGGTGGTTTATATTAGGGTCTTTCTTTAGACTTGAATTGTAGAGTCATAGGTCAGACCACTTTCTAGGAGCTGTTCAGTGATAAAATTAATAACAGTGACTTTTGAGTCAAAATAGATTTTTAAAGTACTTGATTTTCTCTTTGATTTGGAAACATCTTTGTTTAGCTTAATTGAAATGATCTAAAATATTTGAAGGATTTTATACTTTACACAGAGGCATGTATTTGGATAATTAGCTTTTATTAAACCCAGGCTTGGCTTTTAAGGTACAATATACAAATTGTTTTTGAGATGTTTAGTTTTTTCCTCTCTCAAAAGTTTAATAGCTGGGCACATTAGCTCACGCCTGTAATCCCAGCACTTTGGGAGCCCGAGGCAGGCGGATCACAAGGGCAGGAGACTGAGACCATCCTGGCCAACATGGTGAAACCCCATCTCTACTAAAAATACAAAAGTTAGCTGGGTGTGGTGGCGGGCGCCTGTAGTCCCAGCTACTCGGGAGGCTGAGGCAGGAGAATCGCTTGAACCTGGGAGGCGGAGCTTGCAGTGAGCCGAGATCGCACCACTGCACTCCAGCCTGGGCAACAGAGTGAGACTGTCTCAAAAAAAAAAAAAAAAAAAAAAATTTACTGGGTATCTGTTTCACTTTGTAGGTCATCAGAAGATTGAGAGAAAGAGGAGAACCAATCAGACTATTTGGAGAGACTGATTATGATGCTTTTCAACGTTTAAGGAAAATAGAGATCCTCACACCAGAAGTTAACAAGGTAAGAGGACAGAACAAAGCTAGAAAAATACCACTGTACTGCATTCACTAGAATAGAGTTTGACTAATTGCATTATTGTAGGCAACAATGGAAAAGTAAAGTGAGCAGATTATTGCTGCTGAATGGAAGTTTTCATTAATTTTTTGAAAAGCTCATATCTTAAGTATAACATTTAATGCATTTTGACAAATACATACAAGCATATAACCATTGCCCTTATAAAGAAATAGAACATTTTCGTCACCAAAGAAATTTCCCTGAGAGCATCAGGAAGAATAGCGAATGGATGCTGGGCTCAATAGCTGGGTGATGGGATGATCTGTGAAGTAAACCACCACGACACACGTTTCCCTATGTAACAAACCTGTCATCCTGCAGCTGTATCCCTGAACTTAAAAGTTGAAAAAAAAGAGAAAAAGGAAATTTCCCCAGTACCCCTTCTCAGCCTATCCTCATATTTCTCCTCATCCCTTCCTGGGCAGCCACCATTTGAATTTTGTCATCATGGATTAATTTTGCTTGTTCTTGTATTTCATACAGATGGACTCATAGATTGTGTGTCTGGCTTCTTTCGCTCAGCATATCAGTTTTTAGGTTCATCCATGTTATTGCAGATACCACTGGTTTCCTTTTCATTTTCCAGTGATACTCAGTTGTATGAATATATCAAAATTTGTTTCCAGCTTTGGGCTATTAGGAATAAAACTGCTGGCTGGGCGTGGTGGCACAAGCCTGTAATCCCAGCACTTTGGGAGGCTGAGGCAGGTGGATCACAAGGTGAAGAGATCGAGACCATCCTGGCCAACATGGTGAAACCCCGTCTCTACTAAAAATACAAAAATTAGCTGGGCGTAGTGGCGTGTGCCTGTATTCCCAGCTACTTGGGAGGCTGAGGCAAGAGAATCACTTGAATCCGGGAGGTGGAGGTTGCAGTGAGCTGAGATTGTGCCACTGCACTCCAGCCTGGCGACAGAGTGAGACTCCTTCTCAAAAAAAAAAAAAAAAAAAAAAAAACAGGGATAAAACTGCTATGACCATTCTTATGCAGATCTTTTTTTGGAACTATGTTATTTTTCTTGGGTAAATAAATAGGTCTCTTGGGGAGATACCTAGAAGTAGAATTGCTGGATAATAAGAGTAGATGTATGCTTAACTTCATAAGAAATGCCAGTCATTTCCAAACCCCAGCATGTGGTATTGTTAGTCTTTTTAATTTTAACCATTCTCTTTTGTGTCTGGTAGTAGCTCTTTGCGGCTTTAATCACATTACCTGATGACTAAAGATGAGGAGCATCTTTTCATAAAGTTGTGTTCATTTGTGTAGTGTCTGTTAAAGTCTTTCTTTCCTTATTTATTTATTTTTTTGACACAGAGTCTCACTCCGTCACCTACGCTGGAATGCGGTGGCATAATCATGGCTCATGGCAGCTGCAACCTCCTGGGCTTAAGCAGTCCTCCCACCTCAGCCTCTCAAGTAGCTGGGATTACAGGCGCTTTTTGTTCATTTTAAAAATAAACTTGTCTTTTTGTAAATGGATTATAGGAATTCTTTGTATATTCTGGATAGAAGTTCTTTGTCAGATATACGAATATTTTTTGTGACTATTTTCTTGTAGTTTAGGGCTTACCTGTTCTCTTAATTGAATCTTTTGCTGAACAGAAGTTTGTGTGTGTGTACACACACGCTTTTTGAGACAGGGTCTCACTCTCACCCAGGCTGGAGTTCAGCATGATCATGGCTAACTGCAACCTCTAGCTCCTGGGCTTAAGCGATCTCCCACCTCAGCCTTCCAAGTAGCTGAGACCACAGGTGTGTGCCACCATGCCTGGCTGATTTTTTAATTTTTGTAGAGATGAGGCCTCCTCATGTTGCCCAGGCTGATCTTGAACTCCTCTACTCAAGGGATCCTCCCGCCTTGGCCTCCCGAAGTGCCCGGGCCAGAAGTTTTATATTTTAATGAAGTCCAATTTATTGTTTTTTCCTTTTATGGTCATTGCTTTTTGTGTCCTGCTTAAGAAATCTTTGCCTATCCCAAGATTTCAAATATATATTCTTAATTTTCTTCTAGAAGCTTAATATTATAGTTTTTGCTTTACATTTAAGGCTCTGATCTTGTTTTATGGCTTAGCATATGGTTTATTCCATGGGCTCTTGAAAAGAGTATTGTTTTGCTTTCATGGTACAGTTCTACAAATGTCAGTGATGATAGTGTTGTTCAGATCTTCTTTGGCCTTGCTAACTTTTTATCTACTTGCTTTCTCAATTATTGAGAGACAGGTGTGGTTACCTATGACTATGTAACAGACTACTCCAAAACTTACTAGTGTTTGTTTATTTATTATAAAGGATTTATCATTACCAAATCTGTTTTTGGTGATTAACAAGCCACCCTGAAACTTGATAGCTTAAGATAATTTGTTATTGTCTTAATAATTACCAGTTCTGTGGTTTTATTGGGCTGGATTGAGCAGTATCTTGCTTGGGGTCTTTATTGTGATTGCAGTCAGATGAAGGCTGCGGCCGAAATCATGTGAGGCTGCCTCTGGACTGGTCTTCTAAGCTGATATCTTGCCCCTTTCCTGGCGTCTCAGTTGGAATGGCAGGAACAGCTGGGGCTGGCCAGGCCCGCTCCCCGACCTGCTCTGTCTGCTAGCCTGGGCTGTCTGACTGCTTTCTTTGTTGCCAAACCACTTTCCTGCTTTACTTCCCAGCATTGTCATTCCAGCCCCACAACACTAGCAGTTGCTTTCAGTCCTCTGTGTCTGTAATGATCATTTTTCCTTTGCTTGCTGTGTTTCTGCCTTGTATGCTCTGGTTGAAATCTTGTTTTTATACTTTCACATGCAATTCAGTGACCACATCTTCTCTCGGAATCTATTTTTGGTCCCAGTCAGAATTAATTGCTTCCTTCTCCATGTGCCTATGAGTAAACCTTTGTTAGTGTACTTACTGTTTTTCGCTATTATTAGAGTTATGTGCATATTTATCTCTTCCTGGTGGGCAAAGGCTGTTTTACCTTTGTATGCCAAGTCCTGTGCCGTGCATCTAGAGGTTTTGAGGACAAAGCACAGGAGCACAAGGTCTGGATTCCATTCCTGGATTATAGTAATCAATTATTTGGCCGTTGGCAAGTCTTTTACTCTATTTGAACCTTAGAATCTTCATTGGTAAAACAGAGGCAGTGATATTTGGCTCACTGGGATGCACTGAGAATTCGATGAGGTGACCTCTGGGAATGCCTGGCGTCATACTTTTTACACAGCAGGTGATCAGTCAGTGTTTGAGAAATTATAAGTGTTTTGAGTTGAATGTTTCTCTTCTGTGTTTATGAAGGGACAGGAGACAATGATCAGATGCTTTTTGTGTGAGAACGTTAGGAGTTAACATTGGTTGAATGTGCACCGTGCTCCAGTAACTGTTCAAAGCTCATCGTCCATTTCTTAGCTTACTTGCGTGACTTGATGTTTGCGAGGTTCTGGAACAGCTGCATCACATAGTAACTGTTCACTGAAATAAAAAATAGCATCCTTATTACAGCCCTACGTAGTAGATGGTGCCATTACTCCTATTCTGTAGGTGAGTCTACTGAGGCACACAGGGGTTAAGCAAGCTTTCAAAGAGCTATTTAATAGTATGTGGCAAGGATTTGAACCCAGATAGCTTTTACTCTCAACCATTACCCTATAGCCGCCTCACAGCCATGTTTCCTTGGCTCTTAAACCTTGCAGCTGATTCTCATTCATTTTTAGGAAGATGAGGCTTCCATTTTCATTAAAGGGTCATGAACCATATGTGCATAAAATGCGAATTTGCTGGTTTGCTAGAAACATAGTTGAGAACCTGGGATATAGATGAGGCACCAATTTTATTACACTGATGTTTCTGAATGTTTTGGGAGTTCACAGTAGTTGAGGTTAGACATTGTAAATGAGCTGGGCAAACGGGTTGGGGACTCTAATGGAGACCTGCCACTGTCACTAAGCCTCATTAGAAAATTACAGCATTGATGAAGATTCTTACTTGGATTTGTCACTCACGTGTATTTTATTTTTCTGACCAGCAGACTGGCCATTGTTTGTGCATTGTTTTAATTTAAATAGGTCCGTAAGAATTAACTTTAAATGGACAGTAGTGATAGTTGTGTGATAAATTGATGTGATTTGAGTCCCTACTTTTGCTGAACTCTTCTTGTGGGGGAAAAAATATTTGCAGTTATTAATGAAAAATCAAAGGTGAAAAAACAGGTGTTCTTCCTTTCATAACAGGTGTTCTTCCTTTTTTTGCTTTTCTTAGGGATTGAGGAATGATTTGAAAGCAGCCTTGGATAAGATTGATCAGCAGTACCTCAATGAAATCGTCGGCGGTCAGGAGCCTGGAGAGGAAGACACACAGAATGATCTGAAAGTTCATGAGGAAAACACCACAATTGAAGAGTTAGAGGTAATCTCTACACCAAGCCCAGCACATCCCTGGCACCCTTCTTTTTCCTCTGGAGCAGATGACTGAGTCGGGCAGATTGTTGAGGGCAGAGCACACTGTTGTCCTTGGTCTTTTGTTTATTTACTCCTCGCTTTTATTTATTTACTCCCCTTTTTCTCATCCTCCACTCACATTCCCCTACTTCCTGCCTTCAAAAGGAACCCATTCTAATATGTTGGATATGCATCTTTCTGTTTGTTGGTGCTCTTGTGACCTGCAGTGTTTTGTGAGCATGTATTTTTGATTTACATAAATGATGTTATGCTGTGAAATTCTTTATTCCGTGTTTTACTTTTCTTTTTTTCAGTTAGCACTATGTTTTTAAGAGCTATCCTTGATGCTCTGTGTACACTGAATCCTTTGCTTTTAATTGCTACATAGGATTCCATGTGTTACGCCATTCACTGCATTTGACTTTTTGTTCTCCGGTAATGATGGACAGCTAGATTGTTCCCAGCTCTCTCCTACCACAAACAGCTTCCTGATGAACAGTCTTGTGCATAACCACGATGGCCTAGCAAAGTGGGATTGTGGGATTTATATATGTATATTTAACTTGTCTAAGTACTGCCAAGTTACTCTCTGGAATGGCTGTCCTAGTCTACACCCAGCAGTGTGAGGGTCCCCTGTCTTTCCAGCCCTGCCAACGCTTGGCAATATCTTGCTGTCTGATTTTTGCTATAGTGCTGCTTTTGGAGTGTTAGTGTATAATCTTAATTAAAAAGCAATTTTGTATCATGTAAGTAGCATGTAAAATAAATATGGCTTAAAGTTCTTAATGCTTAAGGAAACATAAACTTATTTTTCTGTTTCCTTTAATTCCTGGCTCTTGTATGTGTAGCTGTCCCTCTGAATAAGATCATAGTTGAGGAAGACGTCATTTTAATCCCCTGCCTCCTCCAATACCTGTCTATGGTCCCTAAATTTTACTAAAATAATTGGTATGGGCAACCAGTTGTGGGCTTTTTTTTTTTTTTTTTTCCTATTGGTGTATTTATTTGTTTATTTTTAAAAAACAGCTTTATTGAGATATTGACATACCATACAGTTGACTGATTTAACATATACAAATCAGTGGTTTTTAGTATATTCACATGGTGGTGCAACCATTATCACAATCTAATTTTAGAACATTTTGGTTCCCCCAAAAAGAAATCTCACATTCATTACCCCCTCTTGACTTTTCATAAAAGGTAACATGCTCTCCAAATTTAAGTGGCAAATCCGTGTTTTTTGTTTTTGGTTTCTTATCTAGAAATTCCATCCGATTTTTAAGTAAAAATTGAACAGCATATGTGACCAAGAGCCATGTTTAGACTGGTGTTGGTAATATATATGTTTAGTTGTTGCTCTGTATTAATGAACAGAAGCATTGTTTCTTTTTCTTCAGGCGCTTGGAGAGTCCTTAGGGAAAGGCGATGATCATAAAGACATGGACATCATCACCAAATTCCTGAAGGTGCGTGTCTTAGGCGAGGGGATGAGGATGCCTTGGATCCTTATGAACTATTCTTATATTTTTGGATTACCAAGGGTTAAAGGCTGGAACGGGAAAGCCTCAATACACATTTCTCACACATACATGATGTTTATGATATCACTATGCACTTGATGTAGCAGTTAGTAAGAGAAAATGCATATTTACTTTTCTTGTGGCTTTTTTTTTTTTTTGGAAACAGAGTCTTGCTCTTGTCTCTCAAGCTGGGGTGCAGTGGTGTAATCTCAGCTCACTGCAACCTCCACCTCCCGGGTTCAAGTGATTCTCCTGCCTCAGCCTCCTGAGTAGCTGGGATTACAGGCACCCACCACCATGCTTGGCTAATTTTTGTATTTTTAGTAGAGATCGGGTTTCACCATGTTGGCCACGCTGATCTTGAACTCCTGACCTCAGGTGATCCACCCACCTCAGCCTCCCAAAGTGCTGGGATTACAGGCATGAGCCACTGCGACTGGTCTGCTTTTCTTGTGGCATATTTTTTAAAGCTGGCTCATTAATGTAAACACATAGAAAAGAATCACAACAGCAGAATTAATAAGAAGTTGGTAGAGTTGCTTATTTTTTTCTTGAGGCAGAGTCTTGCTCTGTCGCCCAGGCTGGAATGCAGTGGCACCATCTCGGCTTGCTGCAACCACTGCTTCCTGGATTCAAGCGATTATCCTGCCTCAGCCTCTCAAGTAGCATGCCACCACACCCGACTAGTTTTTGTATTTTTTATTTATTTATTTATTTATTTTTTTAGTAAAGAGACAGGTTTTCACCCTGTTGGCCAGGCTGGTCTTGAACTCCTGACCACAAGTGATCCACCTGCCTCGGCCTCCCAAAATCCTGGGATTATAGGCATGAGCCACAGTGTCCCGCTGAATTTCTAGACAACCCAAGGAAGAAGAGGGTTCTAGCTTTTTTTTTTTTTTTTTTTTTTTTTTAAGCAAAAGTGTCTTTCTCTGTTGCCTAGGCTGGAGTGCAGTGGTGTCATCCTAGCTCGCTGTAACCTTGAAATCCTGGGCTCATCAACCTCCCGAGTGGTAGGGCATGTACCACCATGCCCAGCTAATTTTTTAGTTTTTTTTGTAACCTTACAGAGAGTGCTCAATTCTTCAGTTCTACAAATAGCTGCCTATTTTTGCTGACTTGCTGATTCCAACCGTCTTCTCAACATTTCTCTCTTTAGTGGTCTAGATAGAGTATGAACAAATCCCAGATATTTTATTGTTTATTCACAAACTGTGTTCAGACCAAGAGATTTACATGCAAGGAATGCTTTTTCTTGTGTGTACAGTTTAGATACAACATATTATTCATCAAGATTCTGAATATATTGAGGATACAGCATGGAAGTAGATAGGGCATAAGAATTAGTATGAACTAGAATTTCCTCTTTGAGTGATGGCCTCTTCTTTTTTAGGATATGCATAGATGATGCCCCTAGAGGACAACATCCTCCTCAGCCTTCTCTGTTTCCTACTTCCAGGAAGGGTGCCCTTTATACAGTTAAACCCAAGGGGCACTGAGGTAGTTATCTAGGGGTGGGGGTGGAGTGGGAATGCTGGGTCTTGGCTTCTTTATTTCTGTTTCTCTTTCTCCTTCCTCTCCTTTAGTCAGGTGCTTTCATGGTTTTTAAACTTAATCATGGTCTCTACAGCATATGTAGAAAGTCCAGTTTTCTTGTAACTCGTAACTTGTTGAATTTTATGTATATAATACAAATACAAATACAAGTTTATTTCCTCTCAAATAGTTAACTATGAAACTTGATAGTTGTTTTCTGAGGGAAGCAAATTATCCTGAGCTAGGAATAGATGTAGACTAGGGAAGTTGGTGACTTGCCAAAGGTACTACTTCAAAGCATTATCATGACCAATAAGCAGAACTAGCTTATTCTATATTATTTGGTGGCATTTTAATCAAGACATTTACTTTAAGGATGATTGTATTCTGTTTTTGTGTGCTAGAGAGCATTTAGATGTACTGAACCACTGGGTGGCATTGTAGTCTAAGTTTACCCATCCTTTCAACAGTTTCTTCTTGGCGTTTGGGCTAAAGAATTGAATGCCAGAGAAGATTATGTGAAACGCAGTGTGCAGGGTAAACTGAACAGTGCGACCCAGAAACAGACCGAGTCCTACCTAAGACCACTTTTTAGAAAGCTACGGAAAAGGGTGAGGTTTCTTGGAAAATACTTTTTTTAACTGACTTTAAAAATACAGTATAAATTTAGAATAAATGCAGTCTGTTTTTTCCCTATACATCTATACATAGTAGCTTCCAAAATTTCTTATTTATTTTTTTCAGAATCTTCCTGCTGATATTAAAGAATCAATAACGGATATTATTAAATTCATGTTGCAGAGAGAATACGTGAAGGTACATTCCCATGCTGTTCTTTGAAATTGTTAAGAGTATATCTAGGTTATGTACGTAATATAATGTTCATTTGGGATAGGAGGATTTTACATAGTAGATTTAAGAATAAATGTGAGATGAGTTAGTAGTAAAAAGCGTTTTATTTTCTATTGTATTTGCCAGCTTTACTGTTAGGCAGTGAATAACAAACCTGACTAAGAAAATACAGACCTCATCTGTATGCTCTTGGTCATTTTTAAAATAGGCCTAAAGGTTCTTCAGAGCATGAACTTTATATAGGCAGTGTTCATTTTATGAATTTCAAAGTTTTGTAAATGGCTGATTATGTCTTGGAACAAATTTTCCCATAGAAACAACGTTGTATAGATGAGTTTCCCAGGATGGTCATAAAAGCCCCTTTAATCTGTAATATAGCTGAACTGTTGCACTGATGGTACAGTGGAATTTAACCACTCTTTGTAATTGTTTCTATGGGGAAATGGTTCAAGCAAGGCTTCCAGGACTCATCTCTCCCATTTCAGCGTTGCAGACCCCTGCAGTGGAAGTCTCTCCTCCCTTGCCCCAGTGTCTATACTCCTGAATGGGCTCTGGGAGGCAGCGGTGAGGGAAAGGGTGCTGGTGTCCAGGGCTCCCTGAGATAGAGTTTAGAAAGGGATGAGAGGAGGACTGTCAGTTGGTACAGGGGAACAAGAAGGGAAGGGCCCAATGCACCAGTAGTGGCAATGAAGAAAGAACAGAGTTTGAGGGAGGCTTCTTGTGGCCGTGCCTCCCAAGGCACTAGGAGTAGAGCATTTCAGTGCAGCAACCCCAGTGCCAGTGCCAGAGCGGTAGGGAACTCGGAATGACATTGCTTATCCAGTGCTGTATCTGTATACTGACGTAACAAGGGACTGCTGGCATTCCTGAGTGACTGGATGATTTACGTGATTAGAGCCTTAGGCTAAAGAGGTTCCTGCAGTGATTTTACTCCTTTTAAGAGCCAGCCAGTTTTCTCAAAGAAAATATTTTTTGTCTTACAGTTATAAATGTGCTTCTTAGTTTCTGTCAGTTGCATGATTCTTACTAAGGATGGTTGCATTGGCATGGATGGATAAGGTCACCATCACTGCAGGAAGAATGCACATCACTCCCTGCTAGAATGGATGCCTTTCCTCTTACTGCTTTTTCTCGTGATCACATATCAGAACTAAGTGCAAGTGCAAGCTTATTTTGTATAAACTACAGAAAGAACCAAGAAGCTTTAATAACCTGTTTAGACAGTTTCTTTGAAATTTGGGGGAAACTAAATATTGCAGTTTTTATCAGTTAAGATCCAATGTTAAAGTTTATACACATGAAAATTAGTGATAAAAATGTACATAGGCCCTTTTTAAATTAAGCTTTATAAAACCGGTGAGCAGAGCAAGTTCACATTTATCTTTAGGGTAGAAAATGATCTTCCAGCTACCCTATCTGTAGTATCTGATTTTAAAAAAATTGACTCTCCCTATCAATCTCATAGGTGTCTGATTTTTTTAAATTAAAATCTCCTTGAGGCCTGGCTTTATAAGCTTCTCTTAACCCTTGAGGTCCTTTAGAATTTATTTGCTTTATGTTTTTCTTGTTCTTCCTCACAGCTAGCCAGGCTTGGTTAGGAAAAAAAGCCTTTTGTCTTCATTGGTTTCTGTCTTCATTTTTTGTGGCTGTTCTTTAACGGTTCTTGGCAGGTAGGGGGTGGGGTGGGGGGCAAAGTGGAGCGATCTCATCCTTCAGCTATTCGACTGGAGGGCCAGTGTTTCCTCTCTGTTTACACATCTGTTAAAGACCCTGTGTGGTCGTCGGCACATACTGAGCCCCCACTTCCTTCAGAGAGCCACAGTGCTGTGTAGGGAGTGGATATTGTTTAGGGTTGGACGATGAAAAACTACTTAGCCCCTGTCTTCTACATGACCCCCTGTGGAGAAGACTGGGTCTAAAGGAGACCAAAACTAGAATTTTCATCAGTGCATTGAAGTGCCTACCTGGTAATTCCAGATCTGCAACATATTAATTTCCAGCATACAAAGGCTGCAAAGGAATGTTTGCCTTTTTTTTACTCACAACCTAGCTTTGGTTTCTGTTTTTTCCATGGACATTGGTGGTCCTGGGCAGGGCAGTCTGTTACCCTGTATTTTAATCTGTTTTGTTTGAATAACAGTCATGGTAATATTTTCCATGTGCCCAAAAGGTGGACGAAAATTACATCATAAAGGGCTGTGAAATACTTTCAGTAAGAATTTGAGCCAGTACAACATTTTCGCCTTTCTGATTTCTTCTTACACTTTCCTTTCAGGCAAATGATGCTTATCTTCAGATGGCCATTGGAAATGCGCCTTGGCCCATCGGTGTCACTATGGTTGGTATCCATGCCAGAACTGGCAGAGAAAAGATTTTTTCCAAGCATGTTGCACATGTTTTAAATGACGAAACTCAGCGGAAATATATTCAGGTAAGCAGTTTGGAGAGCCGGGAATTGCCCTGGAAGTGAATATTCTCTAATTCCCAAAACTCTAAGTCTGGAAAGCAGGCAGAGAATTACAGCAAATAGAACATAGCGTGATAGGATGGAAGTCCCCTCTGGATAAGCACTGACACTGAAGCCACCTTCACTGAATAAAGTAAAAACCTTTCAACTTTCATATATGTTGGAAGACAAGGGTGAAGTATTGTGCTTTAATTACCTTAGCACTGAAATAAAATGATTGCAGTTTGCTTTTTTTTTTTAAGACGTGTATTAGGAAGTAAAAGTTGAGCTCATCAGAGAAATGTGGGAGTTTAGTGAAGAGCAACAAACTTAGAGTATTTTACAATAAATCCTGCTTTGTTGCTTTCAAGGTAAATCTAACATCTACTGGGTTCAAGATGTATGGAGAGTAAAGACTTGGCTTTAATGTACGTAGCACGTAACAACACTTCTTTAGTCATGTGAATAGGTCTAAAGTGCCGATGGTTTGTTTTCTTCAAGTTATACATGCTTCACATAAACTTGTTGGTACTGTTTTTGGGCTAAACTTTTCTCCCTAGTGGGAAGAAAATCGACTATAATGTAGTGTTTGCCAGATTGTCATAAATCCCAGATTGTGTCTGTAAAATGACTTGCTGGATGATAGTTCTAAAACTTGACAGTGATACTCCGGAAGTTTACTTAAAATTTGAAGTTCACTTAAAATGCATAAAGTGCTTTCAGATTTTGTGCCAGAGAACAGTCATTACCATATTCATGAAATATCTTTTTGTTTTTATTTCACTTCCAAGTGCTGAATGTTAATTCGTGTCATGCTTTATGCCTTAGTCACATATAATAGCTTTTTAAAATATGATTTCAATCGGACTCCCTCATGTGAACTGTATACAGAGTTCAAATATACTTCTGGAAATTCAACCACATTTCCATTTTTTAATAACCACCAGTGAGTGTATTAAAGGCAGAAGCTTTTAGCTGAAAAAAAAAAAAGTTGCTTAGCTTTAACAATAGAAAACAGGTTCCAAAGATTAAATTTGCTAATTGTGTTCATCTATATTGTGGCCAAAGGTATAGTGTATAAAAGTTCATATGATTAAATCAATCGTCTGAAAGACATTTCTTATAAACAGTAATGTGATTTTCACCTCCCCGAGGAGTGATTTTTTTTTAAGTATACCTAGCATTTATTCAAGAATTCTGGTTTATTTTGGAAGCTATGTAATGACCTGTCCTTACTCCATTGTTCTTCCTTTTTAACTGTTCTCTTCCCATTAAAAAAAATTCTTCTTTTGCCCCCTAGGTGATTAGAGAAAATTGATGAGCATACTGTATTTGAAATTTAGCTAGGTGTTTGAGGCAGACCCAGTGGTATTCTTGTGGATAGGGCAAATCAGGCTGGACTCATAGCTCATTGACAGAGGGAAGCCATGGAGCATTAAATAATGGACTCGTGTCTCTTAGGGTAGATGCTAGAGATGTATGTCAGGGGTCTTAGGGACCTCAGTGCTGTCCTGTCGAACCTTTTAATGACTGACTTGGATGGCTATACCGAAGGATGGGTTTATCAGGTTTGCAGACAGCAAGAAACTAGAAGGGATGGAGTGTATGTTAAGGTGGAAAAGAAACTGCTATTCTAGAAGTTCTTGACAGACGAGAGAGAAGGGCAGAGTCTAAAAATACAATATTTAGGAAGGAAGGATTACCATAAGAAAATTGGACCCATATACCCTTTTGCTTAAGCTTATAATTTGGGCAGTGGATATAAAAAAGAATTAGAGGCTGAGCATGGTGGCTCACACCTGTAATCCCAACACTTCGAGTGGCTGTGGCGGGAAGATTGCCTGAGGCCAGGAGTTTAAGACTAGCCTGGGCAACATAGCGAGACCCCATTTCTACAAAAAATAGAAACTAGCCAGGCATGGTTGTGTGTGCCTGTAGTCCTAGCTACCGGAGAGGTTGAGGCAGAAGGATCTCTTCAGCCTGGGAGTTCAAGGTTGCAGTGATTTGTGATTGCATCACTGCACTTCAGACAGAGCAAGACCCTGTCAAAAAAAAAAAAAAAAAAAAAAAAAAGAAAGAATTTAGTGGACTAAATTTAGTGTAATAAAATTTGTAGTATGATATGGCCACCTAATAACTTAGTGTAGGTTCTCCAGGGCAAGAACATAGTTCAGTATTGTACCCCTAGAATCTAGAACAATATCTGACTCATGGTGGGTGCTTAATAAATATTTGCTAATTGAATGAATTCATGATAGAGCAAGAGAGGTGATAATAATTGCTCTTTTCCTAGTCCTCGAGAAAGGAGACTCTTGGTGAGAATCTGGGCAAGAGTTCTAGATCAGCGGTCCCTGACATCTTTGGCACCAGGGACTGGTTTCATGGAAGAGCATTTTTCCATGGATCGGGGAGGTCAGGGGGATGGTTTCAGGATGAAACTGTTCCACCTCAGATCATCAGGTGTTAGTAAGGAGCATGCAACCTCGATCCCTCACATGTGCTGTTCACAATAGGGTTTGCGCTCCTGTGAGAATCTAATGCCAGGACAGAGGAGAGCAGAGCTTAGGTGCTAATTCTCTTGCCCTCTGCTCACCTCTGCTGTGTGGCCCATTGCCTGACTGGCCACGGACTAGTGCTGGCCTGTGGCCCAGGGGTTGGGGACTTCCTGCTATAGAAAATGGTAGAACTTTCTGATGGAAGAGGATTAAACTTGTTTTATACAATTGGACAGATTTTTAGTTAGTGTAAGACAAAGCTTTTTCAGAAAACGTTTTTATTTTGAAATAATTATAGACTCACAAGAAGTTGCAAAAAATAGTAAGAAGCTTTTTAATAGGCAGAGTTGTCCCAAGGTGGGAGATGGAGGAAGACACCCACCTCTTGATGTCTGGAGGCATAAAACATTGCCCTTTTTGGCCCTTCTGGCCAGAGTCCTCTCATTCTTTTCTGCCATTTTCCCTAGAGGCCATTGCTTAAACCTCAAGTTTCAACTCATGCGCCCAAGAGTCACTAAGATAACGAGTGAGCTGAGGGTTAAACCTCTGGCTTCTGTCTTCCACTTTCCTACTCCTTATGTAGGTGCAACTAGAAGCTGCATTTTATTTTCTTCTCACCTGTGCTGTAAGAGAAATGAGCAATGCAGAAGCGATACTGAGTGTCAGTGATGCTTGGCCTCTCTGTTGATGAATTCACTTGAGCTCATTGTTACCTTGTAGGAATATGGTTCCAATGTTGCTGGATCTTCCATGATTTTTTTTAATGAGAAGGAAAATCTTGGTTTTTGAAAAAAAAGTATTCTCCTATTTTTAAATGTTGGCATCAAATAAAAAAATTAACATCGTGTAAGGCTAAACAGAATGCCAGTTTGTGATCTGTGTCTTAAACCCATAGTGTAACTCAAGCAGAAGAATGCGGCCACCCTATGTTAGAGTTTTGTAAAATTCTTGGTTACAATTTACTGATTGATTTACTAAGCTGTCTAAAGAATGTTCCTCTTGTTACTTTGGTATCTGGATGAGATTAATTTGAATTCTCCTAAAAAAAAGACAATTTATTATGTGAAGTTTAAGTCAAGGGTTGGCAAAATTTTCCTTAAAGGATCAGATAGTAAATATCTTGGGCTTTGTACTTCTTGCCATCTCTAACTACTCACCCATGCAGCTAAGGCACAAAAGCAGCCAGTGGCTGTGTTCCAGTAAAACCATGTAGAAAAGAGGCAAGTGGGCTGAGAACCACAGTTTGCTGCCCCGTAGTAAATGTATGAACGAACCCAAAACCTTTTTTACACTAAGATGTTGGCCGAGGAGGTAATTATGAAAATCATTTAATAATTATTTCTTTTTAAATTGCGGTATAAAATGCCTCAATGCCTCAACAAACATTGTAGTGCTTGAAGTCTGCTACCTTAATGGTATAGCCCAATGATTCTTGATACGTGTCATGTATATCAAGCTGTAAAACAAGATCTGGAGTTAGAACACTTCCAGCAGGTTCCTTCATGCCTGTTCCCAGCCTGAATCCTCCTCCTCCTATCAGAAGTAACCATTATTCTAACATGTACCATTATTGGTTAGTTTTGCCTGTTCTTGAGCATCATGTAAATGGAAACTTGTAATGTCTGAGATAATTATTTTTTTATTTAGAAATACTGGTGAAAAATATGTTTTATGAAATATGATAGACAATAATTCAAGGGGCAGTTTCACTGGAACATAGATTTCATCTTTTGGTTTTATGCAAACCTCTGTAGAACTTAAACAATGAAAGTTATTTGAAGTGTTCTATTTCTCACAAAAATTAAATATACCACAAGGAGGGTTCTCTCCAGGCAGATCAAAGGAAAGTTCTATAGCTTACTGGCTTGCTTCAAGTCCAGGGTTAGGTAGAAATTGGTGGTAGTAGCTTTAAGGTCTTTGTTCATTCTTCCAAATAGAGATGTAACCCCTGGCCCAGACTTTGGGTAAAGCTTCTTTTACATATATTATAGGAAGCTCTGGGTTATTTAGAAACTTTATAATTCAATCATTCCCAGATAGCTCTTGAAAAAGTTCACATCTTGGGCATTCTTTATTTGTCAAAAATAAGGGAAGGAAGGTAGACAGGAGAAAAAGATGAGGTGAAATGCATGTCAAAGAGCTGTTGCCCTACCAGAGCTACTCTTATCCTTCCTCACTGTGTTCCCTCCAAACGTGACTTTACCAGCAACACTGATAGGCACCCTTGCCCTGTGGCTTCTGACTGGAGCAGGCGATGAGAGGGACTGGAAGGCATTTTGTAGGTTGGAGAAGAATGAGTTTAGGGTATTGATTTTCCCAACTTGCTCCCTGGAGGGGCCCCTAGGGTGACTGCATCCCTCTGCCCGAGGCTGTCGCTTCTCTCGGGTGGCTGTCTCCATACAGCTACCCTCCCTAGGTTCCAGTGGCCACTCTCCTCCTTTGCCTTCAGAATTTGGGCTAGCCACAGCTTCCCAGGATTGCCAGCGCTAGGTTGCTCTACTGTGTCTTGTTGGTCCTAAGTCCAGCCCACTCCTTTGTAACATCCTCGAAACTACTACCATCACATTATCCAGTTCGACTGCTGGCATCCTCCTCGCTATGTATAGATGAATTGATCTGTGCACTGTGTTACAGATTCCTTTGGAGGTTAGAAGATTAAGGAATAATAATCTTCTAATGATTTCCGTTAAGCTTTTGCTATTACAAAAGGTAAATATCCTATAATATTATTCTCTGGCAAGTTGTTTTCAGTAAGCTTAAGTTTATAAGTTTCCTAGTAAAGACATCATCCCAATATTTTATGTCAATTATTTCAATCCATGTTTCAGGTTTTGGCATATTTCATCTATGCTAGCATTTGCCAAATTTATCTGTCCATGGAACATTTGTGAGTTTGTAATGTGTTCACGTGTTACCAAAACTGGTATAACAGAAACATTCATGACTGCAATAAGTGATCACAGCTTGATCTGTATGTTGCACACACAGTATCATAGCTGTTGGTAAATGCTCCCATGCCTCAGTGCTCTAATGTATGTCACACACTTGTGGGTTGAGTGGCTTCATGCCACAGCCTGGCATTCTGGGCTATGGTAAGCTGTTTCCTAAAGGCAAGTTGTTGCATGATGACAGCTGTCTACCCCCTTAATCTTCCTGGCATATTAAAAGAGTACATTTTTAGAGAAAAATACTGCTAGTATTTATGTTTTACATAGTAATACCTTTTAATGTCATAGAACACTAGCGTGTTTTGGAAACAGATTTGGGGGAATGCTGATCTAAACTGGGCCATGCTGCTTTCTAGCTGGCAGCTTAGTTGATGGTAAAGGGCATTTTACTGTAGAGTATTACATCTTACATTTCTCAACCACACGGTTGGAAAAAAAGCCAGACCAGTCTCTATTGTGAAAACCTGGTACTCACGTAAATGAAATCTTCCCTCAAATTAGTCATTTGGGGTACCTTTTTACTTAATTTTTGAGTTGTTGTTTGTAATTTGGTGTAACTTTCTGTGAAATAAACCCTTGCACTGGAAACTTGTTCTCGTATAGAAAACAAAAATACAGAGAAGTAAAAAGAGCAGCAGAGTCTGTTTCTTACCATAAACTATGCAGGCAGTTTGAGTTAGTCTGAAGCTATCTGTTTTCTTTAGTTTTTTGATAAGTCCTCCAGATACTGAAGTTTTTGTATGTTTAATACTTACAGTGGGCTTCTTATTAGAACCAGCCTGCAGTTGCCCTTATCTGCCGTCATCCCAACTGGCTGAACCCAGATCAGTAATTTAAAAGTCTAGAATGGGTTGTTTCGATGAATTCAGTTTTAACAATATATTTGTGTGAAAAGAGTTCCCACAGGCCGGGCACGGTGGCTCACGCCTGTAATCCCAGCACTTTGGGAGGCTGAGGCGGGCAGATCATGAGGTCAGGAGATGGAGACCATCCTGGCTAACACAGTGAAACCCCGTCTCTACTAAAAAAAATACAAAAAATTAGCCGGGCGTGGTGGCAGGCGCCTGTAGTCCCAGCTACTCGGGAGGCTGAGGCAGGAGAATGGCATGAACCCTGGAGGCGGAGGTTGCAGTGAGCCGAGATTGCGCCACTGCACTCCAGCCTGGGTGACAGCGCGAGACTCCGTCTCAAAAAAAGAAAAAAAAAAAAGTTCCCATAGACAGTGTTTGAAGTATTGGCGTTTTAATGCATGACTACAAATGTTAGTTGAAATGATAGAAATGTACTTACTAAGTACACATTTTTTGAACATCACATTTCAGGTCAAATGAGCATTCCTATAGTATGAAGTTAGGATTCGTTAACTTAAGTATTGCATATTAATGCATTATTATGTTAGAACTTTTGCAGTTTATGACAGAATTTTAAATAGCTGGGTGGAAAACGTCACTCATCTTGTTTTTTTATTCTTCACGTTCTTAGGATGTACCACTAAATGGATTTGTGCTTTCCTCTTTAAGGCTTTGTTTCATAGTGTAGACTAGCAAAAGGTACAGAAATAATTGATTTAACAACATGTCTTTATACTTAAATATAAAGATTACTTATAAACAAAATATCTTCCTCAAGTTCTAATGATATATTAAAGAGGCAAATCAAGGCAAAGAATTGTGATTGTGGTTTGGTTTGGTTTAGTTTTTGTTTTCTGCAATAATAAAAAAATTGCTAATCTTTTTAGTGGATGCAGGTTGGTTGTTTTAATGGTTTATTGATTTCTCCGGATATAAAGAACTTTCATTATCCAGGATATATCCTATATCATGCTATGATACACCAAACTATATCTGTATCTGATATTTGTATATCATATCTGGAACATTCTGTATTACTTCCATTTAGACTTAAAAATTGTGACATACATAACATAAAATTTACCATCTTAATCATTTTTATGTGTACAGTTCACCAATTAGATATTTATTTATTTATTTCAGACAGGGTCTCATTCCGTCTCCCAGGCTGGAATGCAGTGGCATGATCTTGGCTCACTGCAACTTCCACCCCCCAGGTTCAAACACTTGTCATGCCTCAGCCTCCTGAGTAGCTGGGTGTGTGCCACCATGCCTGGCTGATTTTTTTTG
Source organism: Homo sapiens (assembly GCF_000001405.40). Classification (NCBI taxonomy): domain Eukaryota; kingdom Metazoa; phylum Chordata; class Mammalia; order Primates; family Hominidae; genus Homo; species Homo sapiens. The sequence continues at coordinate 13,624,153 of NC_000010.11, forward strand.
TATTTTCGTAGTGACATGGTATGCCATGTTGGCCAGGCTGGTCTCGAACTCCTGACCTCAAGTGATCTGCCTGCCTTGGCCTCCCAGAGTGCTGGGATTACAGGCGTGAGCCACCGCAGCTGGCCTCACCAATTAGACTTTTAAATGCAGAACATTTTCCTCTAAACACATTGATATTTGAAAAATGAATATAGCTAAATATTGTATGGGAGGCAGTCATTACGGAACCAAACAGTTCCCACTGTAGAAACTAGAAAACCTGGGGACACGGAGGATATTAGGCACTTCTCAAAGGCCAGGCCATGGGAGAAGGCTGAAAAGAAGGAGTGGTTGAGAATTAGGATAAGTAGTCCAGAGGTTGCCTGCCCAAGTGGGGCTCCCCGCCCTCCTCCCACTCTAGCAGAAAATCGGGTTGCTTTTGGATGGATATGTACTGCTCAGGAAGGGTAAGATATCATACTGAAAACAGGAAAATTGAGTGGAATATACAATATTGACAAATGAGACCTTTAGTTCCTGGATTCCACTGATGCTGGCAGCCAGGCTTTCACCCCTCAGTTAGTAAGTTGGAGGATTCTGCTCTGTGAAACTGACCCAAGAGAAAGCATCTGAGTTACTAACACTTAAGTGTTCCTTCAGTGAAAAAACCAGCTTGCTGCCCTGTCATCTGAAAATGCTGTCCTATGGGCAAGCCCCACCTATTCAGGGAGTTTTTCCATTCAGCTCTATAGTGCGTTACTCATCAGCATGAATGTTCACCTAAGATTCATCAGACATTTGGAGAAAGTCTCCAACATGAAAACAGAGACCAAAACACACAGAAAAAAAGACCTTCATAGAAACAGAATTATAGAGAACAGAAAAAAATTTCATTGAGAATGATAATTAATATCCTTAGAGGCCAAGCGTGGTGGCTCATGCCTGTAATCCCACCACTTTAGGAGGCTGAGGTGGGAGGGGTGCTTGAGACCGGGAGTTCTAGACCAGCCTGGGCAAAATAGATCCCTTCTCTACAAAAAATAAAAAATTTAGCTGGACGTGGTGGTGCATGCCTATTCAGGAGGCTGAGGTAGGAGGATTGCTTGAGCCCAGGAGTTTGAGGCTGCAGTGAGCTAGGATCGTGCCACTGCACTCCAGCCTGGGTGACAGACGGGTCTGAAAACAAAACAAACAAAAAAATTCTTAGGTAACGTTGTAGCCATGAAATAAGAACATTAGGCTATAAAAAAGTTTGAGAATCAAAATGAACTCTTAAAAATTAGCAAAAATTTAAATCAGCAAAAATTTAGTAATTACATTAGTGGGTTAGAAGATAAAGTTGAAATATGAAAAGCAGGAAAGGTAAGAAAATAAGAGTCAATCTATAACGTTTATAGCCATTACAACAGAAAAGGGAAGATAGGAAATAAAGAATTAATGTAAGAAAACGTCCCAGACCTGAAGGACGTGAGTTTGTAGAATGAAAAGAATTCACTTAATACAGCGCAAATGAATAGGAAGAGTTCACATCAAGGCACAAAAGAATGCATGTTGGAAGGCCAAAGCTAAAGAGAAGATTTCAAAGACTTCAGAGAAAAGGTCGCTTACAAAGGTGCAGGAATTAAAATACTGTCATACTTCTCACTGATAGCACTAGAAGGTAGAAGACAGTAGAGCAGTACCTTTGCAATAGCTAGGGAAATATTGTCCAACTCAGAATTCTCTTCCTTTCTGAACCATCAAGTGAAGGGTAAATATAGGCTAATGACATCTCCCATGCACACATTCTCTGTAGTCATTATCGTCATAGCTGACACTTAAGTAGTGCTTACTGTGCTTCCCTTCAGTACTTTACAGCCACAATATGAGATGGACACTCACATTTCCCTGTTTTGTAAGTGGGGAAGAGGCGTAGAGAAGTGAGTTCTCAAGGTCACATGGCTAGTCAGTGGTAGAATTGGGATTGGAATGTGGGCAGTCTTGACTCTACCTGAGGATGTCCTCCATCCAAAGAAAAAGATCCAAGAGCTGAGATCCACCACAGAGCAAGGCGAGAGGAATCCCCAGGCTGGAGCTGCAGGGATGTCATGCTCCAGGATGGTAGCAGTACAAGTGGGTCCAGGTTAGAGTAGATGGTTGAAGGACTCCAGGAAGAAATGGAAGAGCTTATATTCCCTGGCATGTCTGATCAGATCCTGAGTGATGTTTGGGCATGTGAGGGTAGTCTCATGTTGGAGAATGGATTAGAAAAACAAAACAAAAAGGGGAAAAAAACTTATGAGAGGTCATCATCATAATATGTTATGTGGGTTTGCTTTGAACGATATTTGTGTAGCCTTTATAAGGAAAACCCTGAATATTGATTTCACTAAAAATGTGGTTTGGGGAGGATGTGGGAGAAAGTGCTTTTGAGGCGTGTGCGTGCATATGTGGGGCCAGTGGACAGTGGTGTAAGAGTGAGATATCCTCTGCTTCATAGTAGGAAGTCAGGAGATATCACTAATATCTGGTGGAAAAACCAAGCACTGTCAGTATAGTATTTAGAAATGTGGCAATAAATGCCAGAGGAAACACTTAAAACGTTTGAAAAGGGTTGCCTGTGGAGAGCTGGAATTAGGATTTGGAAAGAGTGAGGTAGAGGACTGCTATTATTTGATACAAGAATCGTGTGATTTTTTTTTTTTCCCCTCAAACAGTGTACACAGAAAACCCGGAATTATCCTTGGCTTTTTTCTTCCTGTCACAACCCATATCCTATCCATGTCAAAGCTTGATGGTTCTATATTCAAAGTATGTCTGGAGCCCGATCCCTTCTCACCACCTTCCTTGCTGCCACTGGGTCCAGCCACCACCTCTCATCTGAATTATTCCAGTGTCTTCTCTCTGGTCCCTGAGTTTCTCTTATTGCTCCTCTCCAGTTTCTTAGCAGCATTCCCCAGACTGATCCAGTTCACATACAGTCAGATCGTGTTGCTCTGTTGTTCAGAACCCTGCAGGGGCTTCCTAGTTCACAGAGTCCAAGCCAAAGTCCTTCAGGTTGCCCCACACGTCCACTTACCCCACTTGCCTGCTTTATTTTCTCCAAAGCACTTAGCATCGTTGAAAATTTTTTTTTATGAATTTATTTTGTTTCTTGCCTGTCTTCCCTTACCACAATTCGATCTCAGGAGGGTGGGATTTTTTCTGGCTTCTTCGCTACTGTATTTCCAGAGCCTAGAACAGTATGTATAGTAGGCACTGAATAAACATTTGTTAGATAAGGGTATTGCCTTTATATAAATAAAAAGCCAATTAAAAATACCACAAGTTTTTAAGCCATTTGCCATAAGCTAAGCTAAGCAGCTCATTGTTTTACTGGCTTAAGCATCCATAAGCAGTTTGAAACTGAAATCCTGAGGGGTCTAATTGAAAAGATTTGTTTCCATCTGGAAAATAACGATATTCTGTCCTGAGATTACACACCTATCTCTGCCATGCACTCTCAAATCTTTTTTACAAAAATGTATCATACCGCTCTGTGGTAACTACTTATGACTAAAACAATTGAGTTTCACAACCCTTGGCAGCTAAGATTTCAGGGAGAACACTAGTATATGTTTTTAAATCATAGAATCTGCTTAGTGAGTATAAATAGGCATCACACACGTCTTCTGTAAGGAGCACACACCTAAGATTCCAATTCTTCTGACATGGGGAAAACCACCTCCAAGGCAAACCATCAGTTTGCCTTCCGCTTGCGCATAACAATTCTTGCCATGCTCTGCTGCTGAGTGAAGCTATTTGTATTTCATCAGGGTGTTCTCTTGCCTGACTTTGCCCCTCTTCTCACCTATTCCTTCAGGAACCTTAAGATGCCAAATTAGTGCTATCATCTATATTTCCATGGCTACCGATCAAAGTTCTGCATACACATGATTAGAATTCACAGCAGGATAAGCTGGACTATGTGATGGAATGGTCTTTATCCCAAAGCAAATACCTGATTACACAGGGAACAACAACAACAAAAAGGAGCCAAGTGAATGACGTGTGCAAAAGCCCTTCTTGTGAATCAGTTGAAAGATAACCTCCCTCCACACCCCTAATTCCTAAATCTCATAATGTGGGCAATCCTTGAATCCACCAAGGACTTTAAATACTTCACAGTCTTGTTTCTCTGATGTGGAATCTGTTAGATTATGGCTCCATTCATAGAAGTATGTCATTTGTCCCTTAATATCCTCAGGGATTGGTTCCAGGACCCTGCAGATACCAAAATCTGGATGCTCAAGTCCCTGATAGAAAATGACATAGTATTTGCATATAATCTATGCACATCCTCCTGTATACTTTAAATCATCTCTAGATTACTTACAATACCCAACACAATGTAAATGCTATTTAAATAGTTATTATATGATATTTATTTGTATTATTTTTAATTCTTTTTTTGTTGCCGTTTTTTTCTGAATATTTTTTAACCAGGGTTGGTTGAATCCATGGACACATAACCCATGGATACTGACTGTGATTAATATTTGTGTTGTCTGCTTACTATGGGACCAATGAGATTTTGCAGGGATTTTTGTGTTGTTTGTTTGTTTTGGTGATTTTATTGAGCTTAACAGGTGTTAAGTTACGTAGATTTCAGTAAGACCTTTGGCAAAGTCTTTCCTTGTAAACAAGGAAATGTGTGTGTTAATGAATTGCACAGTGAATAGGATTCATTGCTGGTTACAAACTCTTCCCAAGATCGTTTTGGAGAGAGCTCAATCGTGGTGTGTCTCAGGTCTCTGCCCTTGCCCTGGCCTGTTTGCGCACGGTATTGAGTATTTGGATAATGACTTAGAGGACATGTTTACCGAGTGGTGGATGAGAAAGCTAAGAAGAATAACTAAAGCTAAATGTCGACCAAGGATTCTGAAAGATCACAGACTGAAGGATGAGTTGAAAGAGACAGGATGAAATTGAATAGTGATAGTTGTTTTCATCAGCTTAAAAAATCTAACTATAAAGTTATACACTGGAGAACTGGCCAAACTGCTGTAGAGACAAAAGGCACTTGAATTTTGTGAGATCGGTGGGAATTAGGTGTGTGTATTGTAGTTGTCTAAAAACAGCTAAGGGTCTTGGTTACAGTTGCCAAGATACAGAACAAAAGTAGTGCAGTGACTACTTCTAGTGAATTCTGCAAGAATGGCCAGGTCACGCTTGGAATGTTGTACTCAGTTTTTACTGACATATTAAAGTGGTTTTATTGTGTAATATTTGGTACATACAAAAGAATACATGTAAAACACAAGTTATAAAGTAAGTAATAAAATGAATGTCTAAAAGCCTTACTCCCAGTTTAAGAACTAGAACATTCTGAAAACCATTGAAACAATATTGTCCTTCCATACTCCAGAAGTAACCATTACCTTGCACTTAAGTTTGTCATTTCCTTTCTTTTTGAAAAACCGTTCCACCATGTTATATGTGCATTTCTAAGTAATACATTTTTTACTTGTTTTTGAATTTTATGAAAAGGATGTCACTGAAGGTAGTAACACTTCATGCCACTTGCTTTTTACTTTCGACATTGCTTCTAAGATTCATATACATCGGCCTTTCCCAACCAGAGCCCCTCATCTTGACCACAGAACACAGAAAATAATTGGAGTGTATTTTCTCAGTCCTCCAAACATGATACATAAATAGTCTCCTAAATTTTAGATGCATAAGGGAGAAGTTATCTCGTTACATACAATGGATGCCTTAGGCTGGGCATTTGGAGCTTAATTCTCTATTGGAACCTGGTTGAGACTGGCCGAATTGTTACATGTAGCTAGAGTTAATTCATTTTTACTGCTGTAAGATATCCCATTTGTGAGCACACTAAAGTTTTTTTCATATGTCCTCCTATGGATGGAAATTTGGGTTGTTACCAGTTTTTTGGTTTTGTTATTGTGAACAGTTCTGTGATGAACATTCTTGTGTGGACCTGCAGGTGCACAAGAAAAATTTCTCTAGGCATACATCTGAGTGAATTTGCTTGGGTCTGCTGCATTTTATGGGGACATTGACAAACTGATAACGAGTTCAGAGGAAGGCAGTTAAGAATAATTTAACCATGTCATAACCAACCTTTGTTTTCCTTATTTTCTTAGGGATTGAAGAGGTTAATGACCATTTGCCAGAAACACTTTCCTACAGACCCATCCAAATGTGTGGAGTACAATGCACTGTGAGATCTGTGTATGGTGTGTTAATAACAATAAGAAACTTAGGGAAGCAGGCTGTGGACTTCTGGAATTACCAACAGGAATGAGGAAAGAAGAAAACTGGAGTTTCCAGTCTCTGAGTTCTACCTGATGTAACTCTTGATTGGTTTTAAGAACTTTGTTGGCCTTCATTTCATATCTGACTGCAAGCTGATTTTTCTTTCTTGCTTTCATTTTAATTAGTCCAAAATTAAGTTTTAAAGATTTTTCCTCACAATTTAAATCCATAGACAACAGAAGGGGGTTTAAAATGACCTTTTTTTCAGTTGACCCGAAAGTTGTGGTTAGATGATTAAAAAGAAACATTTGAGGATGGACTTAATTATTTCAGTAAAATATTATAATTTGCCTATTGTCTTTTATGTAATATTTATATAAAATATTTTTATATATTTCAAAAACATGGGACCATTGAATGAAACTTTATAGTCCTTAAATGTTGCTGAACTTTTGCTGTCTTGCAATAGAATTTGAATGTAAATATTATTACTGGTATAACTCAAATGTTATTTTTCTTGCATTTCAAAGCTTGCTTTTATCTTCCAAGAAGTGTAAATTTTAGTATTTGTCATCTCTCAGGACAGATACAATTAATAGGAAATAGAAGTTTGAAGAAACAGAGATGGCACATCATAGCAAACTAAGTTCAAAACAGAATAACCCCAGTGCATCAAGGTTAAGGTGGGACAGTGGTTTGTGATGCCAGGGAGAGTGGGGAAATTGTGATGATGCTGGTAGACCTGGGCAGACTGTGTTCCCAGCCACACCCGCCAACAGAGGAGGAAGGTGCTGGTACTGATGTCCCCACCCGAGAGTCTGTCCTGGCCTTGGTTTTCCACAGTGAGGGCTCGTTCTAATGTTGCACAATGTCATACTCAGATATCACTGTGACCTGTTACTATGCTTTAGAACCCGAGAGGCCTCTGTTCACATGGCAGCATGTGTGAGTGGATGCTCCCGGAGCAGGTGGAGTGGTGGCGCTGGATAGCGGTAAGAGCGGGGGCTCCAAAGGCAGAACTTCCAGCTTCACATCTCAGCTCTGCACCTGCTCGCTGTATGACTTTAGCAAGCAACTGGATCTTTCTAAGCGTCAGCTTCGTTGTCTTAAATGGTAGTTGGTAATAATAGTCCATGCTTCGTAGCATCACTTTTGTGTTCAAGCAGAATGCTGAGCACACTGGCAAATAATAAGAGCTCGTAAATATTAGTTGTTGTGTCACTGTTGTCATTAGAGGGAAGCCAGAGTCCCTTTCAGGAGCCCTGTGTTTAGGGGCAGTGTGTCCTCACAAAACAATAACAGTAATAATGATGGTGTTAGCAGCAACAGCAGTAATCATGGAAACGTTGATTAAGCATTTACTGTATCTGAACCCTGCGGCTGTTCCTGCTTTCAGCCACTTCTGCATTGAGAAGGGCCGGGGATGTGGTGGAAGCTAGATGTCACCAAGTAGGGGGATGTAGATTCACAGCGGTCTATTCTGGTTCCTCTTGGGAGGTTCAAACCTTGGGGAGGTTCAAAAGCCAGTTTTGGCCACTTGTGCTCTTCTGCTGTGCCTAGACAGGATCGTTTCTGATGGTTATATGCATGGTGGTGGCTGAGGTCCGCTGTCTGGAATTGAATTGGGGTTCCTTGCCTCCCACTCCCTCATTTGGAAACCTTTTCTTGTTATTAAATCAGTTAGAGGGGGCCAGGCGCGGTGGCTCACGCCTGTAATCCCAGCACTTTGGGAGGCCGAGGTGGGCAGATCACGAGGTCAGGAGGTAGAGACCATTCTGGCTAACACTGTGAAACCCTGTCTCTACTAAAAATACAAAAAATTAGCCGGGCATGGTGGCGGGTGCCTGTAGTCCCAGCTACTCGGGAGGCTGAGGCAGGAGAATGGCGTGAACCCAGGAGGCAGAGCTTGCAGTGAGCCGAGATCGTGCCACTGCACTCCAGCCTGGGCAACAGAGTGAGACTCTGTCCCCTCCCCCCCGCAAAAAAAAATCAGTTAGAGCTTAGTGTAACTTACCAGCGCAAGTGAGAGACAGACTTTCGTAAGATATGACAGCAATCTAGATTTTTTATATAGGACCTATTTATAAATATTGTTGAATGAGTACTCTCCGAGTTACTTTTTCTGTATTCACCATCAGGTCACACAGTAGAGTAGTTCATTAATTTCTTGTTGTCTTCTGTTTTGCAGTTAGTTAATGTTCCATATAAAGAAACTGTCATGTGACACCAGTACCTCCTAAAATTGGTCAGTGTGGTAGATGGTTTAGAGAAAAAAGGAACCTGTTCCACAGGGCTGTGACCATTCGAGGGAAGCACATTCAAAGATGTAGATCCCCTCAGAGAAGTTTTCCATTTCCCTGAAGTTAAAGATCTTCAAATGACTGCAAATAACATGAGGATATATAGAAAAATGCCCTTCCCCAATTTCCAAATCGTGAAAATTTGGCTCAGCAGGTAAGTATTTCTGTTTGTAGTTGTTTATAAAACAGTGAAGACATACCTTTTAAAATCAATCACAGTCCTTAGATAAATTCCTCCCATTCTTCCTCCCCAGACTCCTATCCATTAAGAGTTGTGTCTCTGAATTCAAATTTCATAAAACACTGAGTTCCCTTCAGAAGTAAATAGTGCATTTCCTAGGAGTGTCATTGCCAACTGCAAAGACAGAGCAGTATTTTTCAGTGTTGCAGCATAGAGCCTGCAACAATCTGGAGGTTGTGGCTGTGATTTCAGTCTTTGGGGGACAATTAGGAAAGTAAAGCTAAGGCCAAAGATAATTGACATGTGGAAAGAGACAAAGGACAGTCCGAATCTCGTAGGAGGAAGGGAGCGGTCCTGAGAGACCAGAGCTAGGCAGGCAGCTGTCGCTAAGAATGGAACTTAGTGATCTGCTGTGGGCCCAGAGCGCTCAGTGAGAACTCAGAGGACTAGGAAACAGGCTTGATAGCAGTATGACTTTTAATGCTAAGCTCTGCCTTCTGGTGATATCCTGACCTACTCCAGCACTTCAGAGCACTCTAGGGTTTGATCTCAGTAAATAACTTGGAAATGCAACCACCTTTTTGTTGGAAAGAAAGTAATAATGTATCCGGAAAGAAAGCAGGTTGGAAAACACCAGTGTTTCCAAATCTTTGATAGATTTGAATTTGGGGATTCATATCATTGGCTGCTTTTCAGCCACATGTGCTCACCTTTGTACCCCCGCCTACCCTGCCCCACCCCATGAGGTTAATGCTTCACACAGAAGGATGGTAGAACGAAGTGGGGCAGTTTCAATGAAAGGGAGCATTAAGCTGAGCTCTGCCTCTTTCCTTTGTCTGCATGTCTGGTAAACACAACTTAATGGATTGTGCCTCCTCCTTCCCCCAGTATACTCCCATGAAGCCCCTAAAGAATAAGTTTATCCCATAGCAATCTATGGTATGGTGTCATATTGGGAGTCTTGAGCTGAAAAGTACTTTCTCACGGTATATTGACGCAAGAGCTTCCAGCTGTCCAGAGCGCAAGAGCCAGCGCCAGTCCCCAGAGGGTTGCTATGGGAACACTGTTATGGCAACTGGTTTTCATCACAGACTCTGCAGTTCCATTGGCTGAACTATAACCACACGCTAGTCCTTTAATGGTTAACAGTAACTTTAAAATCATTTGAAATTTAAAAATAATTTCTGGTGGTGTGGAATAGCTAGGGAGGGCAGTGTGGCCAGCCGCGCAGCTATGGTGTGAGCTGACCCCATTCAGAATATTGAAAAACATGCTCATTTAAAAAAAGAATGTATTTTTACGTTGATCAGAACAATTTATCATGAAAGCATTGATTATTTATTTTTCCCCCATTGTAAACTTTATACAACTTGCTTAAATGAATCCTTGTGTTGCCTCTGCTGGTCACTCTCACTAGGCCACTTCCTTCTGTTGAGTCTCTTCTTCCCTCTCTGTAAGCACCAACTTCCTCAACTTTTTCTCACAGTGTTCAAGCTTAACACATAATTTTACCAATGAGAGCAGCTGAGAAGTTTCGAGCTGCCTTTTGGTGATCTCAGACTCTTTCACTGAGCTTCAGGCCGGGACAGTCAAGAGTCACTCCTGCAATCCGCTGTCCTGGCCTTCCTTAACTCACAGTTTTACAACTTGCCAAAACTAAATTGCCTTTGCGGTCAACTGCTTTTCCTTTCAGACTTAGGAGATGTTAGGAACCATGAGCGTTGCAGTCTGTGCAGTCTGCGCCTGCCTTTCTAAGTTTGGCCATCCTGGGAAGTAGAAGTGTAAAAGCTGTAGAATTTGAAACTTTTGGACCACAACTCAAAACAAGTGTATGGAGACCCAGTATTACATGTACACAGGCACGTCTACCTGAAACAAAGTCACTGGCCGTACCATGTGCAAGGCACATTCTTATGTTTTCTAATCTGTTGTGTTTCTTTTTAAAAATATGCTGGTGGTTATCCTCAAAATTGGTTGACAACTCATTAATGTATGGTGGTCAGCAGTTTGAAAACCACTGATTTTTTTTTTGAATTTCAAACTTTTATGTTAATTTCAGGGGTATATGTGCAGGATGTGCAGGTTTGTTGCATAGGTGAACATGTGTCATGGTGGTTTGCTGCACACATCATCCTATCACCCGGATATTAAGCCCGGCATCCACTAGCTATTCTTCCTGATCCTCTCCCTCCTCCCACCCGCCATCCTCCAACAGGCCCCAGTGTGTGTTGTTACCCCTGTGTGTCCATGTGTTCTCATTGTTCAGCTCCTACTTACAAGTGAGAACGTGGTATTTGCTTTGCTGTTTCTGTGTAAGTTTGATAAGGATAATGGCCTCCAGCTCCATCCATGTCCCTGCAGAGGACATGATCTCATTCCTTTGTATGGCTGTGTGGTATTCCATAGTGTATATGTACCACATTTTCTTTATCCAGGCTATCATTGGTGGGCATTTGGGTTGATTCCATGTCTTTGCTATTGTGAATTGTGTCGCAGTGAACATACATGTGAGTGTGTCTTTATAATAGAATGATTTATATTCCTTTGGTTATATACCCAGGAATGGGATTGTTGGATTGAATGGTATTACTGTCTCTAGGTCTTTGAAAAATTGCCACACTGTCTTCAACAATGGTTGAACTAATTTACACTCCCACCAATAGTATAAAAGCGTTCCTTTTTTCTCTACAACCTCACCAGCATCTGTTATTTTTTAATTTTTTGATAATAGCCATTCTGACTGGTGTGGGATGGTAGCTTATTGAGGTTTTGATTTGCATTTCTCTAATGATCAGTGATGTTGAGCTTTTCTTCTTGTGTTTGTTGGCTGCATGTATGTCTTCTTTTGTGAAGTGTCTGTTCGTGTCCTTTGCCCACTTTTTAATGGAGTTGTTTGGAAAACCACCGATTAAAGCAATTATCAGTAGAATTAAAGAAGGAAATGACCTGTTAGATGAATCTAGGACAAAAGGACTATAATTCTTTTTTGATTTTTTTTAATATGGAGATAACACTTGGCTCTCATTGTTAGTGTGAAATTTAGCAGATTATAGAACCTACAGTACTTCAAAATGCTAAATACTTCTGCCGTAATATGTAATTCTTAAGTTTAAAATGAGGAGACGTCCATAGAAGAACCGAGAACAGAAACTTGTAAGCCATCTGTTAGAAAATTGGCAGTATGTATAGCTGATCACCTTGGGCTGGTTGCACATTGTTGGATAAAGCAAGATTAAACAAGGTATTACAAAATAAATGGGAGGTCAGTTAAAGTACGAGATAGGTTTGGCTGGGTGTGGTGGCTCACGCCTGTAATGCCAGCACTCTGCGAAGCCAAGGCGGGCAGATCACTTGAGCTCAGGAGTTTGAGGCCAGCCTGGGCAACATGGTGAGACCTCATCTCTACAAAAAATACAAAAATTAGCCAGGTGTGGTGGCGCGCACGTGTAGTCCCAGCTACTTGGGTTGAGGTGGAAGGATTGTGTGAGCCCAGGAGGTCGAGGCTGTAGTGAGCAGTGATCACACTGCTGCGTTCCAGCCTGGGTGACAGAGTGAGACCGTGTCTCAAAAATAAGTAATAAATTAATTAAGTATAAGATAGGTTTGGGGCAAGAATAGTTGCAAGGAGTCTAGTGTTACGCGTCAAGTGTCTGTTGAGAGGACAGTGGCTTGGCCCTTTGAAAATTATTTCCTAAGACTCAGTGCTAAATTACATTTCTTTTAATGTAAATTTTCTTATTGGCAGTATAACATACATACAGAAAAATTACTAGAGTATCACATCATGATAGGTTTTTCACAAAGTAAACATTTCACACAGTAAACAAAGTAACTAGCGCCCCAATCAGAAAAGGTAATTGTTATTAACTCCCCAGAAATCTCTTCATGTCCTCTTCTAGTCATAGCCATGGTCCTAATTTCTAACATCATAATTTTTAAAAAATATCGGCGTGTAATTCACATACCATCAGTTGTACCCATTTAAAGTGTACAAAGGTTGTCAGCATATTCACAGTTACACAACCATCACCACAGTCTTAGAACACTTTCGTCATTCCAAAAAAGAACCCCGTTTGCCTGTGTTTAACAATTTGCCTGTTTATAAATGGAATCAAACAGTATGTGCTTGACTTCTTTGGCTCAGCTTAGGGGTTCTGATACTTACTCATCCCCAATGTGTGTAGTTGTGGTTTTTCAGTCTTGATGCTGTGTCTCACAATTTATTCTACTGATGATGGACATGTGAGTTGTTTCTGGTTTTTGCATGGATGTTTTATATGTGTTTCTTGGTGAATATACATCTCTCTATTTATATTCACAAGAATATATACCAAGGTATGAAATTTCTGGGACATAGGGTATGTATAAACTTGGCTATTAGAGTTATTGTCAAAGAGTTTTCCAAAGGAAAACCTTATACCAGTTAACACATTCCCACAGCAGGAGTTGAGAGTTCCAGTTACTCTGCCTCCTTGCCACACTTGATATATCCTCTGTCATTTTCATTTTAGCCCTTCTGGTAGTCATAATGGTATCACGTTGTGGCTTTAATTTGCATTTCTCTAATGGCTAATATAGTTGAGTACCTTTTTTCATATGTTTAATGGCCATTTGGATGTTATCTTTTGTGAAGCTCCTGTTCAATGCTTACTTTTGTCCATTTTTCCCCTACTGAATTGCCTGCTTTTTTCTGACTGATTTATAGTACTTTCTGTATTCTGGCTAGATATCTGTATTGCAAATAAGCCTCCCACTTGGTGGCCACCCTTTGTGCCAGGTTACCTTTTATGCATTGGAGAAATAATCTTATGACTGACTCAGATATTGACATAACCTTTGCCAACTATCTTTGCCCAATAGATTTTATAAAAATCAAATCATATGTCAAGCTTAAATAACAATTCTTCCTCTTGTTTAATGATGTCATCATAGTGGCATGTTTAAGAGTGTAAGATTTGTGAGAAGAGGAAATTATGTGAATGTTTGCACTTTTTTGTTAACTGTTGTATTGGATTATTTCATTTCAGATATGGCTGTTTTTGTTTTGCTTCTTTTGATGTGCAAGTTCATGTGCCATAAATGTGTGGTGTAGACACTACTAGTTACTTACGCAATGTTCATTCTCTCTCCTTCTCTACTAACAGAGCCCTAATTTGTTTAGAACTGTAATATGCACAGTTAAAACAACTTGTCCTCTCAGGACCTTTTGCAGTTAGGGTTGGTCGTATGACATGGTCCTGCGAAGAAGATACGGATAGAAGTCTGTGGGTGAGTGGGACTGCCTGGAAACCTGTTGCTTTACTAAGAGAAAGAGACAGACTTAGCTGACATACATACTTTGTCCTTTGCCTGTGATCATGATGCGTAGATGCTTGGTGGCCATCCTGCAATCTTGACAATGAAGATGTGCTAAAGATGGCAGAGCAGAAGATAAAGCTTGGCTTTTCTTTTTTTTTTTTTTTTTTTATGGCATCATGAAATCATTTTGTATAAAACATGAACTGCTTTTTTAAGGTTCTACAGAAAAACAGAAGAGATAGGAGATAGGGAGAAAGAGAAAGTTGTTGCGGGGGAGGGAGAGAGATTTATTATAAGGAATTGGTTGAAACAGTTATGGAGGCTAAGTCCAGTGATCTGTACCCCGCAAGCTGGAGACCCAGGAAAGTTGGTGGTGTAGCTCCCGTCTGAATCCAAAGGCCTGAGAACCAAGAGAGTCAATGGTGTAAATTCTAGTCTAAGTCCAAAGGCCTGAGAACCAGGAGAGCTGATGGTGTAATTCCAGTCTGCAGGTGGACTGGAGCGTAGAGAGAGCTAATTCTCCTTTACCCCATCTTTTTGATCTATTCAGGCCACCAGTGGATTGAATGATGCCCGTATGCACTGAGAAGGGCCATGTGTTTACTCGGTCTACCAATTCAAATGTTAATCTCATCCAAAAACACCCTCACAGATACCTTTGGAATGATGTTTAACCAAATATTTGGGTACCGTCTTCCCCAGTGAAGTTGACACAAAATTAACCATCACAGCTGCCTTCCTGTGGGCCTCATGTTATATGAGAACAGTATTGGGTAAGTTGGGTTTCCATTATATTCTGCTGAACTCAGTCCCCAAGCAATGTATGCATTACTCAAACTTCTTGACCTTCAAAATCATCAAGTGACTTGTGGCAAGTGTGCCATGGTGCTGAGGTCTTTGTTCATTTCGACTGGAATAAAATCGGACTTTGCCACATCCTCCTAAGATAAAATAGATGTGAGAGCATTTACTTGAAGTGGTTCTGTGGATGTTGGTACATTGTGATTTCAGTTACAGAAAAGCCACAGATGGAACTGATGTTAAAAGCACCTCAAGGACAACCAGGTACTGGAGCAGATGCCAAAAGGAGTTCTTCTGCCCTGTCATCAAGATTCTGAATCACTCAATTTATTGGACAAAAGCATTTAGCTCTGATTCCTCTTGTGTTCTCTCCAAATCTCCATCAGAGTAAGAAGAGACTTTGAGAGAATTAGTCTCTCTTCTGAGTATCTGTTATAGATGTGAAAGATACTTCAGAAAATACATGGCTCTGGTTTCATCATTTTGGGAAAAGCAGCTTGATATGCTTTGACTTGTTATTACTACAGTTCCGTCTGAGATGGCAACTCACGTTACACTAACGTGGGCCAAAAAAAAAAGTGCTTGTGTTTTTGTCCTTTATAGAGTTTTTTAAAAATTAAAAAGCTAAAAATTAGTTTGTCTTAAATATTATAGCATAGATTTTAGAGGTCTCTTTGAGATTTTAGAACCTGTTAGTTCATCCTTTGATTAGGAATTTCTAGCCAGGACTCAGGATAAAGGTCCAATTTCTGGTCAGTAGGGGCGCTGGTTGTGAGGCTGTTGTCTCAGCTCCAGACACATCTTCATACTCTGCTTTGTCATGAGACTCTGCAAACCACATCTTTCCTTTGCTGGAGAGCTTTTTGTTAGGGTATACCAGGATTGGACACGAGAGACTGGAACCTGGAGGCGGGAAGAAGGGAGCTCCCCCCTTCTATTTGCTTTCTGTTTCTAACAACGATGGCACAGCCGTGGTTTTCCAGAAGCTGAGCAGTGGCTGTTCACTCCTGAAGGAATAGTGGGTTCCAGGGTGCGGTTTTCCACACTTGTAGAACCAGCTTCATCTCTCCACTCAAAGATCACCGCACCGTCAGCCGGTGGCGCCTCTTCAGAGGTTTGAATCCGAGCTCTGTGGAGTCCCCACATTTCTGAGGTACCAGTTACCAGGAGAGTGGTGTCCACGCCTGAGAGGTTTCACTCCCAGCTCCTGGAAAAGCTTCCACATTTTAATGATCCCAGCCTTGCCTCTGGTTCCCAGCCCTAAGCGTGGCGGCTTCCTATTGCAGTTATCTCTGTGATACCTGAGAGTCCCCTTTTTGCCTCCTACCTCTTCACTATCTGTTGACAGTTGTTTGTTCAATCATCTCTCTTAGAATAATTGCTATGGTCTTGGTCCGAGATATAATAGGCAACCAGGTTTTCAGCTCCTGGAAAAGAGCCATGAGACCCAGGTCCTCTTCTACGCAATCCCAAGCTCAGGTGGATTTTTCACTAGCTTTCCTCAATACAACATAGGGATCCCTCCCTAGATGATGTGATTCACCCCCGTGGGGATAGCTGCGAGATTAGGGGAAACTGATGTTTTACCTACACCCTGGTCATGAAGACCTTGCTTTGCTCCCTCCTTCATTCCTACCCTGCTGTTCCTCAGTCTCCTCAAGACCTATGTCCAATCAGTCTGTTTTCTCCTACTTAATAGCACCTTCTCAGCTTCCCTTTTCTTTTTAGTCAGTCTGGATCCCATTACCATCATTTCAGTCACCTTCCAGTCCCTTTTACTCTCACATGTTTTTGTTGTCCTGCCACACCTGCTGACAACCCCAAGCCAGAGTCATTCCAACCTCTCTCCTCCCATGCTCTGACATGATAGTAGCTGCCCTGGAGGAAATTCACAATCTAAGCATCCAATGTCAGCTGGATCCTCCCTGCCATAGCTCTCCTGATGCCTCTGCTCTATCCTGATCCTACCCTGCTGCCTCCTTTTTATCTCACTTGGAGGGTGGCCTAACCTACCCTTCTCATACAGCTTGAATATGGAGGCAATCTTAAGGCCTCTTTCTACCTCCAAATCTACCAGCATCTTGTCTTACTTGATTTGGAGAAAAAGCTGTTCCTCTTTCTGTCATAGGCTAAATCTTCCACTATCCTGCTTTCTTATCTATTATGTTATCTAATTTACTTTCTATTGGCCCCCTCTACTTCCAGTGTAATTAAGTCTTATAAGGGCAGGGAATTTGCATCTGTTTTGTTTGTGCAGATGTGAGGTGTGAGGAAAGGAAAGCTGATGAAAAAGAAAGCTTGGATGATTCCCAGATTTTTGGCCTGAACACTGGAAGGCCTGGAGTTGCCTGTAACTGAGCTGGGGAGGGCCATTCATTGGTGAGGTTTGGAGGGGACAGTCAAGAGTTTAGTTCAGGACATGTTAGCACATTAGACATCCACGTGGGGATATTGGGTAGGCAGTGGAATGTACAACTTTTAGAGAGGAGGTCTAGGATATAGGGATAAATATCAGTCTCATCAGCATAAAGATGGCATTTAAAGCCATGAGAGTAGATGGGAACTTTAAGGAATAATTGTCAATAATAAAGGGAAGGAGTCTAAGGACTGAGCCCGGGGACACCAATGCCAAGAAGCCAGGGAAGAAAAACTACCAAGGAGATTGAAAAGGAGAGCCCTGGACTACGATACCAGGTGGAAAACCAGGACAATGTGGCATCCTGACATCCCAGTGAAGAAAGTGTTTCAATGAAGTGTCCCACTTCTTCACACTCCAAAGTGTGGCTGGCAAGTGATATTAGATGAGAACAGAGAATTAACCATTGGATTTGGCATTGCAGGGAGTCATCGTTGACCTTGGCAAGAGTGGGTTTAGTAGAGTGGGGAGGGGTGAAAGCATAATTGGAGTGGGTTTGAGAGAAAATGGATAAATGAAGGAGAAAACAATTAGCTCGTGGGGATAAAAATTTATGAAGATAGAAATGGGTTTCTGATTTAAAAAATCAATCTTGGTGCCATTATAATCCTATGGGCTCTTGAAATTACTCTCCACACTGTGTTATTCTTCTGAATGCAGTGCAGGTTCTTCAGCTTTGCTGGAGTACGTATCGACTTTGCTGGGAGCATGACTTTGTGCAAGGCATAAAGGTTATACCTCTGCAGCTCTTCTACTTTGTCTCTGCCATCTCTGACCACTCAACTCAGGTAACCAATGAGAGATGCCCTGTTGATCTCTTATCCTTGGGAATAATTTTAATCTCTTCCTCCTGTTTAATGCTAGTGTCCTCCTTTCCCCATAAATGTGGTTGTGTGCCTGTTTGTCTCGTCCATGAGAGTAAGCTTTTAAGAACTGGAACTCTGCACCAAATGTGCAGTGAAATGACTTTGTTGGAGACCCATTGTCTGCCTGCTGGCCCTCATCAGTGGTGACTTCATATTCCTCTTTTTAGAGAGTTTTACATAGAGCCTTTTTGAAATGGTATCCTGGGAAAATAAAGAGCTGGCTGTTTGTAATACTTTCTACCAGGAGTGGGGTGTTCACTTTGTGTTCTCTAATAATTAAATGTTCGGAATCACCTTTTTTGGCACAATGAAAGGGCAGATAAACAGATTGATAGATGAAGAGGTGAAAAGTAGGAAGCAGTGGGAAAGAAATGGGAAGAGGATCTTCCTATCTACCAGTTGCTTTCATGTGGTAGAGCTTAATGAGAAGATGATACGCTAATTTCCTGAGCTGTGACATATTTACATGTAGAAGACTTACGTGAGGGCCCTTTGTCTTTTTTCAAGTGTAGATGATTTTGAGATGGCCTGGTTGCTTCCCCAAGGAGAGGAGGCTTCAGGCTCTCCCACGGGCAGTTTTTAGGGTGTAGGAAGTAGAGAACACTCTCTTGATGGGCTCACTTCCAGATGTGATTCTCAGTGGATTGTTTTCCTTTTCGGCAGCATCAACTAGCTCTAGTGGCCAAGGCTTCTGTAAGGCTTCCCATCCAGGAGTTTTTCATGCAGGGATGCTATTGGAGGCCAGACTTCCAGTTTTGCTAGGAGGAGATGCCTATTAAGTTAGGGGGCCAGGGATTCGATTGCAGCAGTCACTACTCAAGTCAGTCAGTCACCATTTCATCTGTAAGTCAGGGACTCTTTGTACTTGCAGTCCCCATAGGCGCTTGGCTCTCGTGATGTGATTTAGAGAGTCAGTGGCAGGGTTTGAGCTGCAGTGTGAGCACAGAGGATTAACGGTAGTCACAGAGAGCCTGAGCAGCCTGTGTGAGTGACCCTCTGCATCCTACATGGAATGAGGGACAACATGGAGAGACTAAAGACGATCCCTCAAAGCCTAGCTTCCTTCATTGCTCCTGCCGTGGACTGTCTTGCAGGGACAGTACACATGCTGGCACATATTACACACAGGGAGCCGTTTGCAGTGAATAGTGATGCAAAGGCTGAGATAGTATCCTCATAAAGATTGACCTCTAATCTCAAGTCCTTTTTTGTAGTAGCAGGAATACATAATTTAGACAATATTATCTTGCACAGTTAACAGAAGGAAACTAGAATAAGAGGGAATTCACCTCAGCTGAACAAACCAAGCTTCTCTGTATCATCTAGCAAGCTCATAAAAATGCCATCTATAGATTGACTTTAATAAAGGAGCCCACTGAGGACACAAGCACCTGAATTACAGATTCCCAGTGCACACGCAAGCATTTATCGCTGACAGACAAAGGAACAAAATCTCCAGGAGGCAGCTGGGATCTTTTCATTTTGAAAATGCTTTAATAAGTGTTGACAACACTGTTTTGCAAAATGTAAAGGTACTATACAAATTCTTAATACAAAAAGAATAAATTAAAAGCAGATTTCTTTTTTTAATTCTGCAACTTTGTCTACAACGTACATCTTTTTCATTGATTACAGTTGAACAGAATCCAGTAAAATCATTTTACATGCTCTACAGTCAGTTTCAGGAGCAACCTAATCTTTTTTCCCCCATTATTAAACTAGAGTCCATTTTACACAACTTGTAATAAACTATTGACATTAATGTATATGTAAAACTTTACACCTAGTTAACTAAGCAGTAACTGGTCATCTGATAGCACCTGGATGGGGTTTGCTATATTTAGAACTAAACTAATACTGAATGAAAACAAATTGGAATTTTAACAGTTTCAACACTCACCTGCATATAATAAAATAAAAAATCAACCTGGCTCACAACATAGTCTGATGTATGTGTTTTCACCAGTCTTCTGGCTGAAACAGGCAATTTCTTTTACGCATCCGAAGAATCCAATAGGGGCTTTATATCAGACCAAGGACTTCGTATTTCACCTTATTTTGTTTTAAAGAAATAGGGATAAAGAGTTTGCAAGTGCTTGTGTACAATAACTACATCATTTCCCACCACACTGATCATTAATCATGTCAGTCTCAAAGGACTAACGTTTTATGTACATTTTGTATTAACTGAACTCAGCTAAACAGTAAAACCTGTTTTACTTAATCTCTGTCTTGACTACCAGACTATCATGATGTTTGTTGGAACTGTAATTCCTGCTCTCCATTTCTCTCTGTCCCCCAAGTTGAAAATATAACCCAAATCTTTAGAATTTTTGCCTCTCATTCCTTGCAACTCCAGTGGGCTAGAATCTTGATCCAGTTTTCTCCAGACTAGATTTCAAGCTACTATGCATGATGTAGAACATGTAACCATGTAACCTCATCAGCTACCTTTTCCCTTTTGACTTTTCCTGTTGCACACAGTTCAGTCTGACTATCCATGAATCTTCTTTGGGAGAAAGAAAAATGGCCCAATGTATAATGTTTCTGAATGGGGAAGGGAGAAAAAAAAAAAATCACTGTTCTTTGTAGCTCTAACCATGAAAGTAAAAGCAACAAAAATATCCCCCAGTGAATCCCTAGAATCATTTAATAATGTAACCGGTATCTCTTTATCCTGCAGGTGTACACTTAAAGCGTTCTGGGAATATGAATCCCTTCTGCACCCTGGAATCACCAGTCCAGCCATGCATGGAGCTGGGGAAAGCAGGCCCTGAATTGTCTAGAGAGACTTGGTGGAGGAGGCCACGGCCCGCCTTGTCCCTGCCGGGTCCCGGCCAGGTGTGTGTGTGCCCCAGCTCGACTCTCGGTGGTCTCCAGGCTGCAGCAGAAGGAATACCTTGGTATTTGTTTCATTTTAGTGTCCATCCTTACCCTTCTGGTCTGGTAGAGCCTATGGTTATTCTTGGATTCCACATACATGAAAAGCGAAGATTTTTCTTTGTTTTTATGCTTAAGCTAACTTCAGTTCTGCTTTCCCACAAAACTACCCCCACCCTGGCTCCTGTCCCTGGCTGTCAATGCCTTTCCAATAGGAAGTCATTAGAGTGAGAAAAAAATTCCACCCCCACCCCATCCCCCCACCACTTGCGCCAAAAGCACAGCATACCACCTCTGCGGAAACCTTTTTGTGCCATCTTGAATAACCCAACTAAAGTCGTGCACTTGTTACTATAAAAGTATTTTTGAGGCCTTTGAAGATTGATGGCTTTCCAGTTGTGTTTGAAGCATAGCTCAAAACATGTAAACGTGCAGCTCCCACACATTAATTTTTTTCTTCTTTCCTCCTCTTTTGGTATCTGCACACAAATGTGGTGCATGACAGTAACTGATGATGTAGACACATGGGCCCTTTGGGAGCTGATATTTTTTTCAACCCTGCTCTGCCTGTTGGCTAGTAGACACACGAGTCAAATCTTTCTACCTAAGGGCATAGTTGGGTTCTTGGAATAAGTGACACATAGGAGAAGTCGGATCTGAGCTCTTTTGTCACACAAGTGCTAACGAACAGAAAATGAGCCACGACAGTTAAACACTGAATGGATCGCAATGTGCTTTTCCCTTGGTTTCCCATAAAAACGAAAATGAAACACCTTGTGCAAAAAAATAGGATACGCTTTTACTGGTTGGTTTAATGAGAGAGAACCACTTTTGGCCATTATCACCTTACGTTACTACAAATCCTGAAAGGAAAGCAGCTTTGAGTCTTGGGCTCGGCTGAACCCCCTGCATGGACCGGGGCTAACAGTACCCTCTACGACTCCCACAGGTCTCTCTTTGTGTCCAGATGGATGGCGACTGTGAGTCAGCAACGCCAGCCAAGACTTCCTCGCCTTTACCGTGGCATTGGGGCAGTTTTTCAGGCTCTCTACGGAGAGAGAAGTGGGCCAGTAAGGGAGAGGGCTAGAGAGAGGACACCAGTTTACATAGGGTTGACTTTCACTTGTGTGTAGTAGCAGTTCAGAATTTAAAAGAAATTTCCTTGCAGAAAGAATGTCTTCCTCTTGGCCCCTCTTAATTTTTTATGTTTTTATTTATTTTTAATCTTTGGCAGCATAGAACTGATTGTG